>NC_000004.12:82103199-82254714 GCF_000001405.40 Homo sapiens
GAGAATAGACTGCACTACACACTAAGGTGCTCCGCCTCCTTCCTAGTGACCACTAGCCTTGGAGGAGATGTAGAGGTGAAGGCTTGGAATACAGACAAATACCTCACTGTGGTACTGAGCGCAGGCCATTCTTGGTCCCTAAGTGATTCAAGCCACCTACTCATTTCCAGAAAACATTTCCAGAGATGAGAAAAAATGGCTCATTTCAATTGCCCGACCGATGGCATAGATGCAGTGAAAAGAGAACACTTTTGCACTGCTGGTGGGAATGTAAACTAGTACAACCATTATGGAAAACAGTATGGAGATTCCTTAAAGAACTAAAAGTAGATCTACTATTTGATGCAGCAATCCCACTATTGGCTATCTACCCAGAGGAAAAGAAATCATTATATGAAAAAGATACTTGCACATGCGTGTTTCTAGCAGCACAATTTGCAATTGCAAAAATATAGAACCAGCCCAAATGCCCATCAATCAATAAGTTGATAAAGAAAATGTAGTAAATGTATATGTATATATGTATATGTATATATGTGTGTGTGTGTATATTTATATACATATCATGAAATATTACTCAGCCATAAAAAGGAATGAAATAATGGCATTTGCAGCAACCTGATGGAATTGGAGACTATTATTCAAAGTGAAGTAACTCAGGAAGGAAAACCAAACATTGTATGTTCTCACTCATAAGTGGAAGCTAAGCTATGAGAACGCAAAGGCATAAGAATGACACAGTGGACTTTGGGGACTTGGGGGAAAGGGTGAGAAGGGGGTGAGGGACAAAAGACTACATATTGGGTACAGTGTATACTGTTCATGTGGTGGGAGCACCAAAATCTCAGAAATCATCACTAAAGAAGTTATTCATGTAACGAAATACCAGCTGCTCCCTAAAAACCTGTTGAAATATAAAACAAATTAAAAATAAATAAATTGTCCAACTGAGTCACTGACCTGGGGAGTCTGCATAAGACATGATATACCCTGCAGCGTTACATTGCAGGAGAAAAATATTGCCATCTTCTTTCAGGGAGGATTTTTTAAAACGACACAGTGGGCCAGGCATGGTGGCTCACGCCTGTTATCTCAGCACTTTGGGAGGCCAAAGTGGGTGGATCACCTGAGGTCAGGAGTTTGACACCAGCCTGGCCAACATGGTGAGACCCCATCTGTGCTAAAAATACAAAAATTAGGCAGGCGTGGTGGTGGGTGCCTGTAATCTCAGCTACTGGGGAGGCTGAGACAGGAGAATTGCTAGAACTGGGGAGGCAGATGTTGCAGTGAGCCAAGATCGTGCCATTGCACTCCAGCCTGGGTGACAACAGTGAGACTCATCCGAAAAAAAAAAAAAAAAAGACACTGTGAAGTGGAGTGTGGACATATCTCACAAAGACTTGGCTTATTGAATGAAAACTTTAACAAAACAAGCAATTACCCAGGAAGGATGGAGAATGTGAGTTACCTTTGAGATGGAAATGGCTCCTCTGCATTTGGAAGCCCATCCTCTCTTTTTGGCAAAGGTCAGGAAAGCCTCTCTGCTGGAAAATAACAAACAAAGAGATGTAGCCACACTAAGTCACAGTGAGCCCACCAAGGGCCCCTGGTGGGTGGAGGGGATCTGAGCAGGTGTGCTGGGCTGAGCTGCCAGCCTCGCCTGGCCTTAAGCTGGATGTTCCTCCACAGGCCCTTTCCCTGCCTTCAAGAGGGAGCCTGGCTGGGTGTGGTGGCTCACACCTATAATCCCAGGCCTTTGGGAGGCTGAGGCAAGAGGACTGCTATACCCCTGGAGCTTGAGACCAGCCTGGGCAACATGGTGAGACCCCATCTCTACAAAAAAAAAAAGTAGGGGGGAGGGCCTGAGGTGAAAAGAACTCTGAATTCTATGGCATGTGTGCCCAATACAAGAATTAAGAAATATGTTTAATGGCATGCTATAAAAAATGCTACCTCACACCCATTAAGATGACTGCTATTAAAAAAAATAGTAATAACAGTGTAAGCAAGGATATGGAGAAGTTGGAACTCTTAGGCACTGACGGTAAGGATGTAACTAGTGTAGGCACTGTGGAAACAGTATGGTAAGTTCCTCAAAAAATAAAAAATGGAATTGCCACCTGATCTAGAAATTCCACTTCTGGGTATATAACCCAAAAGAATTGAAGGCAGGGACCCGAACAGATATTAGTACACCCATGTTCATAGCAGCATTATTCACAAAAGTCAAAAGATGGAATCTACCCAAGTGTACATCAATGGATGAATGGATAAACAAAATGTGGCATATACACTGGAATCTTATTCAGCTTTTAAAAGGAAAAATCTCACACATGCTACAACATGGATGAACCTGGGGGACATTACACTAAGTGAAATAAGCCAGTCACAAAAAAACAATACAGTGTTATTCCACCTATAGGAAGTACCTAGTGTAGTCAAATTCTTAGCGACACAGAGTGGAAGGGTGGTTACCAGCGGCTGGTGAAGGGGAGAATGGACAGTTGTTTAATGAGTATAGAAATTCAGTGTTACAAAATGAAAAGGGTTCTGGAGATAAGTTTCACAACAATGGGAATGTACTTAACACTAAACTGCACACTTCAACTTGGTTAAAATGGTAAGTTTTATGTGTTATGTGTGTATTTGACTACAGTTTTTAAAAATCATTACTTCATGGGAAAAATTGCCAACTGGTGCAGAGCTGAATGAGTCTTGCCACTCCTAACTATTGGCTGGAGTCTGTGGTTACAGTCAGTACCACATGGGGTTCCCTGGAGAACTTGTGCAAATCAGGAGGAACCCTGGGGAGACCATACCAGCCTGAGTGAGGCAGGACCGCCCAGTGATGAAGATCGTAGCTGATCAAGTTAGACAGCGGGGGTGATCCCAGCTCCACCATCCTGCTATGTTACCCTGAGCAAACTACTCAGCTAGAGCGGAATTCTAATTGTAAAATGAGGTAATAACAGCTATTCCGTGTAGGACTGCTGTAAGGATTAACTAAAGACAAAGCAGGAAGTGAAGAACAATGTAGAATGTGCTACTATTTGTGCCATGAAGTGGGGGAAAAGATATATTCTCTCTAGCTGTATGTATGTATATATATTCATATTTTCTTGTTTATGTGTAAAACATCTCTGGGAGGTTATGCAAGAAATGAAAAGCAGTCATTATTTATTTATCTGGGAGATGGTAACTCAGTAGAAGGAAGGAAGGAAATTTTTACTAAATCTCTCTTATAATTTTTTAATTTTAAGCCATACAGATATAGTACTTATTCGAAATTAACTACTATGTCAAAAGACAAGATATATGGAGTACACATCATTCAATGTATATAAATTATTACAATGATAATTATCATGAAAACCATTATCCTTACACCTAAGTTTCTGAGCCAGATAGCACTCCTAGGTTTTTGCTTTGTTTTGTTTTGTTTTAATTTTAGATTGAGGGGGAACGTGTGCTTGTTTGTTGCATGAGTATTACATGGGTAATGATGGGGGTTGGGCTCCTGGTGTACCCATCACCCAAATATTGAACATTGTATCCAGTAGGTAATTTTTCAACCCTTACCTTCCTCCCACTCTACCCGCTTTGGAGTCCTCAGAGCCTATTTTCCCCATCTTTATGTCCATGTGCACCCTTATTTAGCTCCCACTTATAAGTGAAAACATATGATATGTGATTTTCTGCTTCTTTATTAGTTCACCAGGATAATGGCCTCCAGCTCCATCCATATTGCTGCAAAGGACATGATTTCATTCTTTTTTGTGGCTGTGTGGTATTCCATCGTGTATACTATATATTATACACACACCATTTTTTTTTATCCAACCAACTGTTGGTGGACGCTCAGGTTGGTTTCATGACTTTGCTATTGTAAACAGCAGTCCTATGTGGAATACCTGTTATTACCTCATTTTACAGCTAGAATTTTACTCAGGGCAACAAAACAGGATGGTGGAGCTGGGATCGCCCCCGCTGTCTAACTTGATCAGCTATGATCTTCATCCCTAGGCTATCCTGCCTCCCTTGGACTGGTAAGAACTCCTCGGGTTCCTGCTAATTTGCATTTGCACAGGTTCTCTGAGTTTATCTAGCAAAAAGTCAAACCCCTGGGAGGAACCTGGAATCTTTTCAGAATCCATAAGAGTCTCCATGGCTTATCCAGAACTCCCAAGACATCACTTACATCTAAAATTCTATAATGCTAATCCCACTACTCTCAAAGATAAAATCTAAGCAAGACAATGCTGATGCCAACCAAACAAGAATACAAACTCAGGACACATAGACAAGGAGAAAGGCCGCGATTGGGAAAGCAGGAAGGAGGAAAGAGAAGGGGAGAAGGTGAAAGGAACGGACAGGAAATCGTCTGTAAATGTACACATGGGTATAACCCATTTTCTACTTTTGCTCACCTAACTCTACTCACAGTCCCTTCCACCGCCCTACTTCTGGTTAAACACTTGTGCTATACAATTTGAGCAGCAAACAGCCTAGACCCCTAAAGATTAATATTAAACAACTTCATCAAACAAACCAAATCACATGATGCCGGGTCCCAGAGACAGAATACCCCTGCCGCAGCAGGTCTGTTCTGCTTCCCCAGCTGTCTGACCCCACCAAGGCAAAAAAAAAAAAAAAAAGGCAGGCTCCTCATCTAGATCTACTAGTGATGACATACTAGATTACTAGATTGTCCTCTGGGGTGAGCCAGCCCTGTCTGCAAAACCCCACAAGCTCTTCAGAGAACACGGTCACCTGACCAATGGCACCCTTTCCATGGCTTTGATTCCCAGATCTTGCCAGCATCCATTATCTGGTCTCCATGTCACTGCCAGCACAGAAAGACACAAAAGTTACTGAACAGCATCACAGTCACAACTCTAAGGGCGACCCGAGCCAGACAGCTGCTTGCAGCATATTCTCCTGTACTACACAGACTGCCCTGTTGGGCAGTAAGATATTTAAGCCAACCTGCATTTTTATATCTTGCCCTGTGCAGAACTATTGGTTCTACTTGGGTGCACAGGAATACAGAGAAAGAAATAACATTGTGATGTTAGTATTGGGAGCATTCAGAGCCTCAAACATTGATCAATAAAGACACTATATTGGATGCAAAATTCTTCCCTCACAGCCAAGTTGTCACTCATGGTGTTTTTCAGTCCATATACTGTGCTAACCTATTATTAATTCTCAAAGATTTATTTAATTATGGAGGATCAAGCCTTTCAAAAAATAATTAATTACAAAGGCTACTTAATATTCAGAGGTGTCACACAAGCAGATAACTGGCATTCTCTGTTGGTAGTTTAATTAGACAAGAAGATGCAAAAAGCTGTCACTTGAGGGTGGGGGGCTGCAGGGGAGGGAAGCCCTGGTAAGCACTACCAGTTGGCCATCTGTACCAAACACAAAAGCCCCACTCTTCAGCTGGCCTCCCTGCGAGCAAGGCAGAAGATATTCATGAACTGTAATTTCAAATTTGATGTTTCATGGATGTGGAAGGTTGGGAAAAACAATTAACCACTTGGTACCTCAGTTTCTCCATCAGAAAAATACAATTCACAAATGTCATCCATCCATCTGCCTCCCAGAGCAACAGCTGCTGAACATTTTCTTTACAAATGGCCGGGAACATGCCAAGTAACAAAACAGGCCCCATGTTACACATTTTGATATAAATATGCTGGCAAGAAATAGAAAACCTTCTTAATTTTACCAAGCAATTGATTCTTGATTATTTCAGAGTTGATTTTTCAAGTTGTGGTTTTTCTGTGCCATTCCTCCGCCCCCATTCTTAAAAATCATCCTTGACAATCTGTTCTCTAGATAATTTTCTTTCTTTTAGTATCTTCACAAGACAATAAGTAATTATAATAGCAACAATCACTACTGCAGTTTATTGTATATTCATATACAGTCCTTACAACTAACTGAGATAGGTATTATTATCATTTTTGTTTCTATTTTACAGATGAAGAAACTTAAATTTAGAGAGCGTAGGTGATGTAATCAATGCCCCAACATTAAGTAGCAAAATTGGGATTAAAATTTAGGTCACTTTAAAACAATTCAGGTCACTTTGATTCCAAATCCCATAAATCCCAAAAGATGACTTTTACCATTCTGCCATAGAAGAGGGAAAAAAAATATCCCAGCACACACACACAAACACACACACACACACACACACACACACAATGGTCAGGATTTCTGCTGCTTGGCAATTATTATAAAATATGGGAACAATAGAAATGACTAAAATAAAATGCACTGTAAATGCAATGAGGTATCTTGGCTTGACTCCTGGAACAGAAAAAACACATTAGTAGGAAAACTGATGAAATCCAAATAAACTCTTAAGTCAGGTTTTTTTTAAAAATTAATCCTAAGGAACTCTTGCCATCTGTACCCAAAACTGTAAATACTATTTCCATTAGTAAGGTTAAAAGTTGATAACTGTTTCATCTATTAGCATTGTTTTGAGTATTTAATGTAATGTCAAACCCATAAACCTTTTCCTAAGAGTCTTGTTAGGAAGAAAAAAACATTAATTTTGTATATTCGTGAGTTTTTTCACCTAAATAGCACAGACAGGTTGATGAAGTCACAAAAAAAAACCAGTACATTGAAAAGGTTTTTATAGTTAAGTAAAGAAATAAAAATATTAATACATTGATACTGATTTCACTTATCAAGTATAGGATCTCTAATTCCCTTCTTTAAATAAGTTAGTTTTATGTATTACATAGGTTTATTTCATACTTTATTGAATCAATTTTTTTTAGTAAAAGTAGATTTTGTTAATTTTTGGTGGGCAATTAATTTCCAGAAAAAACATATTAAAACAACATAGGTTTAAAAGTACATAAATTTTCACATGAATAAAAAGACAAAGAAAATAAAATACATTCATATAAAACTACAGAGCCATTCAAAATTTATAATTTAATTTAAAATTTTCTGGTATATTTGTAAGCTTCTTTTTGTTTTACTGTATTTCTCACCTGTATACAAAATTTTGATGTAGCTATATACTGCAGAATTTTATGTGATTTCCAGTTTCATTGTATTCTTGACTAAGCATTTTAAATTTTGTTTTAACAATTGACTTAAATCTACATGAATTGTAAGGCAAAAGTTAGAACCACATAATGTTTCAGAACACTGAAATAAAATGAACCCAAATATTAATAACTTTTCCTCACAAACCCTGCAAAGGGGTGCACTAACAAAACAAAAAGTGAGGAACTGGCCTCAGATGGAAACATTCTTATAATGTACCAGAAAAAAAAAAACAGGACCATTCAGATATTCTCAGCACCAGGCCCAGACATTAATTCAAGTCCACATATTCTATAGGAAGCTCTATAGACATGGCACAGGGCCCGTCTCAAGCTCACTTCTATAAATACTGACTTTAATTTTTCCACCTTCTTTATTTACAAATGATAACACGGCTAAAGATGCCTTAATCCTCCTCATTTTCAGGAACTGATTAGAGGCCCAGGCCCGGGAACTCTGACCCAGTTTCAAGTAATATTAAATTCCTTTTGAGCCTCATGCATTGATGGGTTCTATATGGAAAAGAACCCTAACTGGAAAGTCCACCCAATTAGCCAACATTTCCCTTATCCACGACTAACCAAAGGTGGACCACACCTCAATGGTGTTCCAGATGTAACCAAGCATAGCTGCATCTCATCCTTAATAGGCTCAAACCCAGGGAATGCCGAAAAGCAGGACTGTCATCCCTCACAATTGATCTGTGCTTAAAATCTGGCATCAGGAGACATCTTTAGAATCTGAGAGAACTGTTCCAGTCATTTGGAAGAGCTGCTGACCTGTGCTGGACTGAGGGTGAGTTTTACAGGACTGCTTTCAATTCCTTCAATTATCAATATTCAGGTGAAAGATATAAAACTGTAACTTAATCCTGAGTTCTAGTTTGATTGCACTGTGGTCTGAGAGACAGTTTCTTATAATTTCTGTTCTTTTACATTTGCTGAGGAGAGCTTTACTTCCAACTATGTGGTCAATTTTGGAATAGGTGTGGTGTGGTGCTGAAAAAAAATGTATATTCTGTTGATTTGGGGTGGAGAGTTCTGTAGATGTCTGTTAGGTCTGCTTGGTGCAGAGCTGAGTTCAATTCCTGGGTGTCCTTGTTAACTTTCTGTCTCGTTGATCTGTCTAATGTTGACAGTGGGGTGTTCAAGTCTCCCATTATTATTGTGTGGGAGTCTAAGTCTCTTTGTAGGTCACTCAGGACTTGCTTTATGAATCTGGGTGCTCCTGTATTGGGTGCATATATATTTAGGATAGTTAGCTCTTCTTGTTGAATTGATCCCTTTACCATTATGTAATGGCCTTCTTTGTCTCTTTTGATCTTTGTTGGTTTAAAGTCTGTTTTATCAGAGACTAGGATTGCAGCCCCTGCCTTTTTTTGTTTTCCATTTGCTTGGTAGATCTTCCTACATTCTTTTATTTTGAGCCTATGTGTGTCTCTGCACATGAGATGGGTTTCCTGAATACAGCACACTGATGGGTCTTGACTCTTTATCCAATTTGCCTGTCTGTGTCTTTTAATTGGAGCATTTAGTCCATTTACATTTAAAGTTAATATTGTTATGTGTGAATTTGATCCTGTCATTATGAAGTTAGCTGGTTATTTTGCTCATTAGTTGATGCAGTTTCTTCCTAGCCTCGATGGTCTTTACGATTTGGCAAGATTTTGCAGTGGCTGGTACCAGTTGTTCCTTTCCATGTTTAGTGCTATAACTCAGGATTAAGAAACTCATTCAAAACCCCTCAACTACATGGAAACTGAACAACCTGCTCCTGAATGACTACTGGGTACATAATGAAATGAAGGCAGAAATAAAGATGTTCTTTGAAACCAACGAGAACAAGGACACAACATACCAGAATCTCTGGGACACATTCAAAGCAGTGTGTAGAGGGAAATTTATAGCACTAAATGCCCACAAGAGAAAGCAGGAAAGATCCAAAATTGACGCCCTAACATCACAATTAAAAGAACTAGAAAAGCAAGAGCAAACACATTCAAAAGCTAGCAGAAGGCAAGAAGTAACTAAGATCAGAGAAGAACTGAAGGAAATAGAGACACAAAAAACCCTTCAAAAAATTAATGAATCCAGGAGCTCGTTTTTTGAAAGGATCAACAAAATTGATAGACCGCTAGCAAGACTAATAAAAAAGAAAAGAGAGAAGAATCAAATAGATGAAATAAAAAATGATAAAAGGGATATCACCACCAATCCCACAGAAATACAAACTATCATCAGAGAATACTACAAACACCTCTACGTAAATAAACTAGAAAATCTAGAAGAAATGTATAAATTCCTTGACACATACACCCTCCCAAGACTAAACCAGGAAGAAGTTGACTCTCTGAATAGACCAATAACAGGCTCTGAAATTGTGGCAATAATCAATAGCTTACCAACCAAAAAGAGTCCAGGACTAGATGGATTCACAGCCGAATTCTACCAGAGGTACAAGGAGGAACTGGTACCATTCCTTCTGAAACTATTCAAATCAATAGAAAAAGAGGGAATCCTCCCTAACTCATTTTATGAGGCCAGCATCATCCTGATACCAAAGCCGGGCAGAGACACAACCAAAAAAGAGAATTTTAGACCAATATCCTTGATGAACATTGATGCAAAAATCCTCAATAAAATACTGGCAAACCGAATCCAGCAGCACATCAAAAAGCTTATCCACCATGATCAAGTGGGCTTCATCCCTGGGACGCAAGGCTGGTTCAATATACACAAATCAATAAATGTAATCCAGCATATAAACAGAACCAAAGACAAAAACCACATGATTATCTCAATAGATGCAGAAAAGGCCTTTGACAAAATTCAACAACCTTTCATGCTAAAATCTCTCAATTAATTAGGTATTGATGGGACGTATCTCAAAATAATAAGAGCTATCTATGACAAACCCACAGCCAATATCATACTGAATGGGCAAAAACTGGAAGCATTCCCTTTGAAAACTGGCACAAGACAGGGATGCCCTCTCTCACTACTCCTATTCAACATAGTGTTGGAAGTACTGGCCAGGGCAATTAGGCAGGAGAAGGAAATAAAGGGTATACATTTAGGAAAAGAGGAAGTCAAATTGTCCCTGTTTGCAGATGACATGATTGTATATCTAGAAAACCCCATTGTCTCAGCCCAAAATCTCCTTAAGCTGATAAGCAACTTCAGCAAAGTCTCAGGATACAAAATCAATGTACAAAAATCACAAGCATTCTTATACACCAATAACAGACACACAGAGAGCCAAATCATGAGTGAACTCCCATTCACAATTGCTTCAAATAGAATAAAATACCTAGGAATCCAACTTACAAGGGACATGAAGGACCTCTTTAAGGAGAACTACAAACCACTGCTCAATGAAATAAAAGAAGATACAAACAAATGGAAGAATATTCCATGCTCATGGGCAGGAAGAATCAATATCATGAAAATGGCCATACTGCCCAAGGTAATTTATAGATTCAATGCCATCCCCATCAAGCTACCAATGACTTTCTTCACAGAATTGGAAAAAACTACTTTAAAGTTCATATGGAACCAAAAAACAGCCCACATCGCCAAGTCAATCCTAAGCCAAAAGAACAAAGCTGGAGGCATCACACTACCTGACTTCCAACTATACTACAAGGCTACAGTAACCAAAACAGCATGGTACTGGTACCAAAACAGAGATATAGATCAATGGAACAGAACAGAGCCCTCAGAAATAACGCCGCATATCTACAACTATCTGATCTTTGACAAACCTGACAAAAACAAGAAATGGGGAAAGGATTCCCTATTTAATAAATGGTGCTGGGAAAACTGGCTAGCCATATGTAGAAAGCTGAAACTGGATCCCTTCCTTACACCTTATACAAAAATTAATTCAAGATGGATTAAAGACTTAAACGTTAGACCTAAAACCATAAAAACCCTAGAAGAAAACCTAGGCATTACCATTCAGGACATAGGCATGGGCAAGGACTTCATGTCTACAACACCAAAAGCAATGGCAACAAAAGCCAAAATTGACAAATGGGATCTAATTAAACTCAAGAGCTTCTGCACAGCAAAAGAAACTACCATCAGAGTGAACAGGCAACCTACAAAATGGGAGAAAATTTTGGCAACCTACTCATCTGACAAAGGGCTAATATCCAGAATCTACAATGAATTCAAACAAATTTACAAGAAAAAAACAAACAACCCCATCAAAAAGTGGGCGAAGGACATGAACAGACACTTCTCAAAAGAAGACATTTATGCAGCCAAAAAACACATGAAAAAATGCTCACCATCACTGGCCATCAAATCAAAACCACAATACGATACCATCTCACACCAGTTAGAATGGCAATCATTAAAAAGTCAGCAAACAACAGGTGCTGAAGAGGATGTGGAGAAATAGTAACACTTTTACACTGTTGGTGGGACTGTAAACTAGTTCAACCATTGTGGAAGTCAGTGTGGCGATTCCTCAGGGATCCAGAACTAGAAATACCATTTGACCCAGCCATCCCATTACTGGGTATATACCCAAAGGACTATAAATCATGCTGCTATAAAGACACATGCACACGTATGCTTATTGTGGCACTGTTCACAATAGCAAAGTCTTGGAACCAACCCAAATGTCCAACAATGATAGACTGGATTAAGAAAATGTGGCACATATACACCATGGAATACTATGCAGCCATAAAAAATAATGAGTTCATGTCCTTTGTAGGGACATGGATGAAATTGGAAATCATCATTCTCAGTAAACTATCGCAAGGACAAAAAACCAAACACCGCATGTTCTCACTCATAGGTGGGAATTGAACAATGAGAACACATGGACACAGGAAGGGGAACATCACACTCTGGGAACTGTTGTGGGGTGGGGGGAGGGGGGAGGGATAGCTTTAGGAGATATACCTAATGCTAAATGACGAGTTAATGGGTGCAGCACACCAGCATGGCACATGTATACATATGTAACTAACCTGCACATTGTGCACACGTACCCTAAAACTTAAAGTATAATAATAATAAAATAAAAGAAAAGAAAAAAATACTGAAGAACAGTGCTCCAAAACCTAATAAATAAATAAATAAATAAATAAATAAATAAATAAATAAAACTGTAACCTAGTACTGATGAACCTTGCTAAGTTGTGTGACTTACAAAGAGCTAGCTGATGGATTTGATCACTGAATTCCCTGACTTCGTGGTTGTAATAGCATTTGTACCAGGGTTCTTGATCCTAGGGGTCCATAGAGAGAAAGAGATTGAGGATAGGGGTAGCTGTCTGTAAACTCCTTGATGTGAAACTTAATATATATGTGCTTTTTTCTGGGTTCCAAGCCCCTACTTTTCATTTTCAAAAAAATTCCTAACTCAAAAAAAAGTTAAATACCACCATATGACATCCACTATGTGGTTATAGAACCAAAGAGCTTCTCAACAGAGAGGAAAGTTTTTCAGATGTTGTTATGGATTGAATTGTGTTCCCCCAGCCCCAAATTCAGAGGTTGAAGTCCTAACTCCAGTACTTCAGAATGTGACCTTTTATGGAGAGAGGGTCTTCACAGAATGAAGTTAAAATGAGATCATTATGGTGGGTCTTAACCCAGTATGACTGATGTTCTTTTAAGAAGAGGAAATTTGGACACAGACACAGGCAGGTGAAAGACTATGTGAACACACAAAGAGAAGATGGCCTTCAGTGTACAAACAGCCAATGAACATACAAAAATAATGCTCAACATTACTAACCATCAGGGAAATGCAAATTAAAACCACAATGAGATACCACCTTACGCCTGCAAGAATGGCCATAATTAGAAAGTCAAAAAATAATAGATGTTGGTGTGGATGTGGTGAAAAGGGAACAATTTTACACTGCTGATGAGTATGGAAATCAGTACAACCACTATGGAAAAAGTATGCAGATTCCTTGAAGAACTAAAAGTAGATCTACCATTCAATCCAGCAAACCCACTACTGGGTATCTACCCAAACGAACAGGAGTCACTATATGAAAAAGACACATGTACATGCATTTTTACAGCAGCACAATTCACAATTGCAGAGATATGGAGCCAACCTAAGTACCCACTGACCAACAAGTAGATAAAGAAAATGTGGTATATATACGCCATGGAATACTACTCAGCCATAAAAAGAACTAATGTATTTTGAAGCAACTTGGATGGAGCTGGAGGCCATTATTCTAAGTGAAGTAACTCAGGAATGGAAAAGCAAATATTGTATGTTCTCACTTTTAAGTGGGAGCTAAGCTATGAGAACACAAAGCCATAAGAATGATATAATGGACTTCGGAAACTTGGGGGAGGGAGAAGGTTAAAGAGGGTGAGAGAAGACTACATATTAGGTACAGTGTACACTGCTCAGGTGATGGGTACACTAAAATCTTAGAAATCACCACTAAAGAACTCATCCATGTAACCAAAAACTACCTGTACCCCAAAAACTATTGAAATAATTAAAAAGAAGATGGCCTTCAGAAAGAATCTGCCAACACCATGATCTTGGACTTCTAGCCTCCAGAACTGTTAGAAAATGAATTTGTTATTTAATCAACTCAGTTTGTAAACTTTATTATGGCAGCCCTAGCAAATTAATGTAGATGCTTAGTATATATTCATTTTGGAATGGGCAGAATTCTGCTCAGGAAAACCTGAAAAGGCTATTTTGCAAGTGGAAAGTCTCTAGTGTTCACGGTTTGTTTTTTTTCCATATACAAGGTCATAAAATTTGAAAAATTAAGTAGTTCACCTGCTTAAATAATCCATTTCTCGAAAGAATAAAGGACATAAAAATTATTTTTGCTCAACTCCCTTAAGAATCACTGAAGGAACAGAATCATAAATTGTGAGCCAGCATCTCATACACTCTACACTCCTTTCTTTTTCTTTCCATGGATCGTCTCTGAGTTCTGTAGAAAAACACACTGTGTTTAAAATGTTATTTATTTTTTAAACAAAGCCATATGTGGTTATTATTAATAAATTTTTAAACTTAGTTAAGCAAAAAAAATAAAAAGAACTCCCCGCTATCCAGAGGTAAAAATTGTTAATACTTGTTACCATATTTTTATTGCTGTCAGATCTCAACCTAAAATTTTCCACAAAACTGAACTTGTCTTATCCAAATAAACAAGCTCACTATACAGATTGCTTAATAATATATGAAATGTAAAGCTGTCAGAATTATTTTGAAAAGTCATTAGTGAATGCTCATAAAGAATGTAAACAATAACAATACTATATTGTCTACTTACAAATTTGCTAAGAGAATAGATCTTATATTAAGTGTTCTTATCATAAAAATAATAAAGAGAGTAGGAGGCAACTTTTTGAGGTGATGCATATGGGTATGTTATGGGTATGTTTATGGCATAAATTGTGGTGATGGTTTCATAGGTGTATTTTTTTTGTTGTTTTTGAGACAGAGTCTTGCTCCGTCACCTAGGCTGGAGTGCAGTGGCGTGATCTCGACTCACTGCAACCCCTGCCTCCCAGGTTCAAACAATTCTCACGCCTCAGCCTCCCCAGTAGCTGGGACTACAGGTATGTGCCACCACATCCAGCTAATTTTTGTATTTTTTAGTAGAGACGGGGTTTCACCACGTTGCCCAGGCTTGTCTCGAACTCCTGACCTCAAGTTATCTGCCCTCGCCTCCCAAAGTGCCGGGATTACAGGCATGAGCCACCATGCCCGGCCCCACAGGTGTATTCTTATACGTACAGCTCATACCCTGAAAAAGTGGTTTTTAAAAAAGAAAAGAATGTGAACATTAATTACTTATAGAGATTATGTTTTATCAAACAAACGACTTACATAAGAAGATCACATCTGAATTGAGATACATTATTATTTACATTCATAATGGAAATAACAAAATTAATCACATTAGGTCTTATAAATAATTATTACTTTGACCACTAATCTCACACATGCATAAAGCTCTACTGATCAAGGAAAATACTGAAACATTTGAAGATAATATTGAGTGGCACTATCATTGAATTGAGGTAGGCAAATACGAAAGCATGAAGGCATGAAGGCACCCACACCCACAGAGCAAATAATTAGGCAGTACCTGAGAAATGGAGAAAACAAATAACTCCTAAAGGAAATGAGAGAAATTATTCAATATGATTAAAAGGGAATTAAGTCAGGGCAAACAGAAGTAACTCAAAGGAAGGGAAATGAATAGCCAACAAAATATGTGACTGAAATATCAGAAACAAAGCGAATTCACACAGGAACACAGCAAATCAAATATCGCATGTTCTCATTTATAAATTATAAACATTGAGTATACTTGGACGTGAAGATGGCAACAATAAACACTGGGGACTACTAGAGCAGAGAGGAAGGGAAGGGAGGCGAGGATTGAAAGACTAACTATTGGGTACTATGCTCAGTGCCTGGGTGACGGGATCAAGTGTACCCCAAACCTCAGCATCGTGCAATATATACCCAGGTAACAAACCTGCATATGTACCCCCTGAATCTAAAATAAAAGCTGAAATTATTAAAAAGAGAAATATTAGAAACAATCTCCCAAGGAAAATTATGCAAGAGCTATGACTCAAAAATGGAAAACCGAGGGACTTAATGTCTACTTAGCCTATTTTCTGAAATAATTCTGATTTTTCAATAATTTCTGCATTAGTCTCTCATTGACTTCTGCTTCTAGGAGCCTGGTGTAGCACTCTGGTTTGAAACTAGGCAAATCTGATCTATTTTGTGAACAATTTTTAATTGAAATATACATGTTAAGCTTTCCTCTATATTTGTATACACTGTCAGTAAGGAAATGAATTGGCACCATATTTTGAGAGCTCTTCCAAAGTTTTACATGCACATACTTTCTATTGCAAGAATTTACTTCAGAGATTTTATCCACAAATTTCTTGACGAATATACAATAAATATAAATACAATTGACCATTGAACAATGCAGTGGTTAGGGGTGCTGACTCTCCCATGCAAAAATTCATATATAACTTTTGGCTTGCCAAAAAACCTACTGTTGACCAGAGCCTTACTGAAACCATTAACAATTGATTAAAACATATTTTATATTTCACATGTATTATACACTATGTTTTTACAATAAATTAAGCTAGATAAAAGAAAATGTTATTAAGAAAATCGGCAGGGCACAGTGGCTCACGCCTGTAATCCCAACACTTTGGGATGCCAAGGTGGGCGGATCATCTGAGGTCAGGAGTTCGAGACCAGCCTGACCAACATGGTGAAACCTCATCTCTACTAAAAATACAAAATTAGCTGGGCGTGGTGGCACATACCTGTAATCCCAGCTACTCGGGAGGCTGAGACAAAAGAATCGCTAGAATCCGGGAGGCAGAGGTTGCAGTGAGCTGAGATCACACCATTGCACTCCAGCCTGGACAAAAAGAGTGAAACTCCCCTTCCGAAAAAAAAAAAAAAAAAAAAAAAAAAAAAAAAAAAACAGAAAGAAAATCATGAAAAAAGAAAATATATTTACTGTTTATTAAATGGAAGTGCATCATCATAATGGTCTTCATCCTCATCATCTTCATGTTGAGTAGGCTGAGGAAGGCGAGGAGGGGTTGGTCTTACTGTCTCACGGGTCGCAGAAGTGGAAGACAATCTACTTATAAGCAGACGCACAGAGTTCAAACCTGTGTTGTTCAAGAGTTAACTTTACAATAGGCTGGGCACAGTGGCTCACACCTATAATCCCAGCAGTTTGGGAGGCCAAGACAGGTGTATTGCCTGAGCTCAGGAATTTGAGACCAGCCTGGGCAACATGGTGAAACCCCATACCTACCAATAAATACAAAAATTAGCAGGGTGTGGTGGCATGTGCTTGTGGTCTCAGCTACTCAAAGGCCGAGGTGAGAGGATCTCTTGAGCCTAGGAGGCAGGGGTTGCAGTGAGTCGAGATCATGTCACTACGCTCCAACCTGGGTGACAGAGTGACACCTCATCCCAAAAAAAAAAAAAAAATAGAGTTAACTGTATAATAATCACATTGCAGCAGTTTTTCTTAGAACAAAAATACAGAACTAGGGCCAGGCGTGGTGGATGATGACTGTAATCCTAGCACTTTGGGAGGCCAAGATGGGAGGATCACTTGAGGTCAGGAATTCAAGACCAACCTGGCCAACATAGCAAGACCCCATCTCTTTAAAAAATAATAATAATAAAAGTTTAAAATCTGGAACCAATCAAATGAGCATCTAGAAACATCTAGTAAAATAAACTATGATATATTCATAGAGCATACTACTGTATACAGTAAAGACTAGTAGATTTTTATGTAGCGATGTAAAAAGAGGTCTAAAATTCAACATTAATTAACAAAATAATTAACTGCAGAATATTACATTCGGTATTATCTCATGTATCTATAGAGGAGGTGTTTTAAGGGATATTCTCTATTTTTGTGCATATGTAGAAACTTTCTAAAAGGATACAAAAGAAACTATTTGGTAGAGTTCTTACAGTGTGAGAAGGCCACTGGTGGCCTTCTTAATTTTTTACCAAAATTACATATTACTTTCATAAGTGAGAAACCTACATCTAGTTTATTTTTAACTTCCAAAAGACAAGAAGCAATTCTTTTATGGCATTTGTTCAGTAATTTTTAAACATTTCACACATGGCGTATTGTAGACTTTGGTTGCTGAGTTTGTATTTGCCTATATCATCCCTAATGACATAATCATCCCTAATTTTGTCATTATCTAGGTAGAACCTTCTTACAGAACTACAGGTTTTATGAAACTGAACGTTCTTATGCAATTCTTGGCAATTCTGTTTGGGCCTTTCTAAAATATATGAGCCCACTTAACCAGTATCTTGCCTTTTCTTGAGAGAGAGAAAGACCGAGAAGAAAAAGAAAGAGGGGGTGAGAGGGAGGGAGGGGAGAGAAAGATAGAAATACAGATAGAAAGATGGATGGATGGAAGGAAAGAGAAAGGAAAGGGCGAAGGAAGGAAGGCAGGCAGGCAGGCAGGCGAGAAGGAGGAAGGAATTTTTGATTAACTAAAAAATTTAAATTCTTTCAGAAATATAAAATGAAATTAAAAGGCAAACAGCAGTTTGAGAAAAATATTTCCAACATAAATAAGGGATAAGTGATTTTATCGTTAATTAATAAAGAGCTACTACAAATCATTTTTCAAAGAAGTCTAACAACCCAATAGAAAAATAGGCTAAAGGTATAATTTCATTAGGAGAATACATGTGAAAAGATAATAGCATTTAAAAAAAATCTTCATCCTCTCTAGTTATCAAAGAAAATCAAGTTAAAACAATTAAATACGTTTTAACTATCAGATTAGCAAAGCTTTTTTAAATATAAGACCCAATATTGGTAAGAGTTCAGAAAATCGGGAACTTTTATTCACAGATAGTGGGAGATTAAAAGTATCCTAATCTTCCTGGCAGTCAATTTATAAATACATATTTTAAAATCCTCTAAAAGTACATCATTTTAGATGCTAAAAATCTACTAGGAATTTATCCAAGGATATTGCTTATCGTAGGATGCATGTATCAGACCGTTTACATAATCATTGGTACTTAAAGTGAAAAATAAAAACTGCAACCAATTAGAATTCCAATAAAGGAGCACAGATTAAACAAATATATATTAGTTATATAAATATATAAAATATTATCTTTTTTCCCACTTTTGTATAATGGACATTGTCTTAGTCCATTTTGTGTTGCTATAACAGAATGCCAAAGACTGAGTAATTTGCAAAGAAAAGAAATTTATTTCTTACATTTCTGGAGGCTGAGAAGTCCAAGGTCGAGAGGCCTGCATCTGGTGAGGGCCTTCTTGCTGCATCATCCGAGGGCAGCAGATAGAGAGCAAGAGAGCAGGCTCAAGAGCCAGAGAGTGAGAGGGGGCCAAACTTGCCTTTATAATAAAGCCTCTCTCACAATAATTAACCCACTCCTGCAATAATGACATTAATTCATTCATGAGGGCAGAGCCCTCAGGACCTAAGCACTTATTAAAGGTCCCACTTCTCAACACTGTTGCATTGGGGACTGTTCCCAACACATGAACTTCGGGGGACACATTTCAACCATAGCAGGCTTATATTAATTGGGTAATTGGATATATTGTTGAATTTTTGCAGTAAAAATTAAAACTTTCCATTTTCCAGTGATAAAACTTCTTTCCAAAGAAGGCCTATGAGAGAGGGAATCTAATTAATGGAAGCTTCTGCTTTAGCATGATTCCTAAGAATTAAGGTTTTATTACAAATAAAAATACAATCAATAAGTCATGAATACCTGTCAAGCAAAACCAAATACAGAAACTGCAAATGCAGTGAAACTTCATAGCTCAGAGGTTTGGTAATGAGATGTGAAGACCTCCACTTCCAGCAAAATTCCGTGTGTCCACCCCTAGTTGGTAATTTGAAGAAAAAGCCACATCTGTGTAGTGACATAAATTTTACTTCAAATGGATCCTGTAAACTCGAAAGTTCTTAGATTTCATCAATAAAATTGCACTCCTGCAAGACTAGTAAGGTGGAAGAGACGAAGAAGACATTCTTTTTTCTTGTTCTGGAAGCACTGGCAGACAAATACGTGAGTTTCACAGGTATGTTTATGCAGTGGCGTCTTTGTTTCCTTCCCATTTCAGCCCCTCAGCACTGAAGAAAGCTGTGAGGCCACTGGCCACATTCCTGCAGGTTCTTGATTCTTAGCTGCAACAGCTCTCTGCTTTTCTGTGGCAGTAAACCCGAAACTAATGTCAGTCTCCTTGATTTTCACTCTTCCAGTCTTTCCCATGGTTTTGTAAGCACCTCAATACCTTTATTAAATCTCTCCATATTTAAAATGCCTACAGGGGTTTTGTTATCCTGACTGAACCCCACCTGATCCAGCCTGGTTACAACCTGAAAGACTAATGTCACATTTCTGCATTAATGGCAGCTATCACAGTCTTGAAATGAAAGGACATAAGTGATCTCGGAATTTTCTTTAAAATGCCTTTAGAGGTGCTTAAAAGGCTTCTTCATAACTCTGTAATTGATTTAGAAAGGACTTGGGAAAAAACTCACAGAAAAGAAAAATCGACACATAAACATGAACATAAGGGATATTTTCTTGAACATAATAGGATATTTCCATGAACATAATAGGATATTTTCTTAGGCATTCTTAACCTGGAAGCAAAATGGTTGTTTAGCTGGAAAAAACCCTTACAGACTCCCTCTAGAGAAGACCAACATCAAATCAAAGTCAATACAAGCATTCTGGGTTGGCTAAATTATCCATGCAGGAAAATGCTCCTAAAATACCAGTTTCCCTCTGATCTGCTAACTGTCATGTCTTTCCGCTACTTTATGGCTCTTTTCCAAAGGATTTGCACCTGCCCCAGTCACTTCAAATCCTACTTCCTCCATGTGTTCCTTCTCCACCCAGTCACCCTAATTTCTTAGCATTTATTTGAATGTTCTAAGTGCTCCAGAAGCTACACATACCAAGAACCCCATCCAGTATTGTCAAAGAAGAATATATGCCACATACGTAAATGTTCTAATAAACTACAATGACAATGTTTTAATTCCAAGTACTTTGAAGAAAATCTAACGTGTTAAACTCTAATTTTTTAGGAAAAAAATCTGAGACAATAGCACATAGTTGAAAAAACATATGGCTTATTCTTCGAAGACTTAAACTGAAGTCTGAAATCTGCCACCTGGGTGACCTTGGTTAAGTAATTCAACTTCTCTGAAACTTCATTTTTCCTCTGTAAAATAGTGACAGTAATAATACAAGAAGCCACACATACCCTAGAGGGCAGTGGTTCTCAAAGTGTGGCCCCAGCCAGCAGCAGCAGAGTCGTGTGGGAAACTGTCAGGAAGACTGACTTGGGGCCCCACTTCAGACCTACTGAATCAAAAACTCAAGTTGGGAGGAGGTAGGGACAAGCAAGCAGCAATGTGTGTTTTAACAACTTCCAGGTGATTCTGATGGATGCTGCCATAGCGATTTTGCATTGATTTAATAAGACCATATACTGTAAAGAATTGTAATTTCTAAAAAGCTATGCAAACATGAGCTAGTAGCATTTTGACTATTAATTATTGTGCTATTTAATGTAGCACTGCTCAGAATGAAATGGCCTCAGACCATTGTGCTGAAGAACCAGAGAGAATTCAGAAGAAATGATTCTGCTTTCAAGAGTTCTTCTGTCCCCTCCCTCTGCTGTCAGCTGTCATTTCTCACCGAGGTCAGTGAGTCCTGCTGCTATCATCTGCTGCATTATACACACAGTAGTTCTGAGCAACCGCCTGAGGGCAATTCTGTCTTTCCTGTGGAATGAAGTCTCTAACCGTCTGCAGCTTCTAGCCTCCCTTACGACCCTTTTCCAACTCGTGTTCTGAATGTTTGAGGCCACCACCAGTCTGACCTCTGGGTAGGAGGAGATTTTATAGGATAATAACATATAGACACATCTTTTACATAGAAATATGTGTACATGTATAGCACCAAGCAGGGCCTGCTAACTTGTATGTTCACAATAAGAATTTTCAGTTGAAAAAATGAATGTGTGTGTTCATATCTCACAAAAGTGTGAGTATACTTCATCACTACACAACATATGCATGTAAAAAAGTCTTCACTTATATCCCCCAAATCTATTATAAAAAAATTTAAAAATTCAAAAAGTGTGAGGATATGGACAATATATGGTTTCACTCTGACATTTCCAATTCCTGTGGATTATCATGAGACCAAAAAGTATGGTTTAATCAGACAAGTCTATAAACACTTCTGGGAAAACAACACAAAGGGCAAGAGCTGATGGGAAGCCACTGGCGTCGTCTCCCCGGGGAAAGTGCAGCACTTTATACGTGTGCGGTAAAAGAGGAGAAAGCTCTCTGAAGCATTAAAAGCACTAAATAAATGAAGGTGCTGCTATTATTGATATGATTCCATCCCTACTGGGTACAGCAACTTTGCTTATGGAGTGTGGAGCCTGTTAGCTCCAGGCACAGGGCCTCTCCCACCCTGAGGTCAGGGTCCCTTTGAGACCCTGCTCACTGGCTCGACTCCCAGGGCTGTCCTGTGCTGTCCTCTGCAAAGGGTGGCACCTCCCCTCACAGCCTGTAAGGGCAACCCACCTCCCAAGAGAAATGCTTGCTACTTGCCTCTGACCTTGGCTTACCTTCTGCCCCACCATCTGCTCGATTTCCATAGCTTTCATTTGAAGCTTTAGGACTACATGACTGCCTCTTAGTCTATTGGCCACAGCCCCAAGCTTCACTCCCTGCATCTACAACAAAGAATCTTCATTCCTGTCCCTACCTTGGCCTCCCTGTGGTGACCCTCATGTCAGGTGAACAAGCACACCCAGCCCTGCACCCTCCATGGTGGCTGAGCACTCATCAGCCCACTTTCCTTAAATCAATAAATTGCCCATCAGCCAGGCCCATGTCCCCTGAGTACAGCCAGACTGAGCCCCTAAGACAAGCCATCCCTGGCCTTCTACGTACTATTAACTCTGTTGTGTAGCGGTCAGCAGACAGTGGGTGCTCAATTAATGTTGCTGTCTGCATAACATGGTAAGAGTTTAGAATGCTGATTCTCAACTAAAATCGGAAATCTGCTTGGGGAAAGCAAGTCAACACTCTCCTGAAATAGTGATGCAATCAGCAGAAATTTTTACTACATCAATCAAAAGGGCTCACAGCAAGTAGTCAGTGAACCAAGTAAAGTGACCTTCGCACCCCCTTCCACTCCTGCCCCCCTCCATATTCTTGTTAGCTACTGTTGATTGATGGCTTCCAGGAAAAGATGATCCATCACTGTTCAGACTAGTGAAGCTTCTGCCGCTACGTTCAGGTTAGTCCAGCATTTTGTAAAAGTGAGACAAAATATAAAGTCTGAAAAATGCCAACTCATGGGAAAAAAGAAAAACCTCAAAATAGCATGGTATTGCCAGGAATCAATGAAACTAACATGGGTGGAAGATGGATAGATTTTTTTAAAAATATACGTAACAGTGTATGATGCATTACAAACACATCACATCAAGAGGCCTGTGATAGGGTTTTCAATTCCATACTGGAAATTATTCACTACCAGAATAGTTACTGGGAAAATTCAGTGCCTAGGGCAAGTAAGAGCTACCACTTAAATTGCGCTCTTATTCATATCAGGCACTGTGCTAGTTGCTTTACATGGGTTATCCTATCCAATTCTTATTTCCATGAAAGGTATGATATGGTTTGGCTCTGTCTCCCCATCCAAATCTCATGTTGAATTGTAATTCCCAATATGGGAGGTAGGGCCTGGTGGGAGGTGATTTGATCATGGGGGTGGTTTCTAATATTAGCAACATCCCTCTAGTGCTATCTCGTGATAGAGTTCTCTGTTGTTTGAAAGTGTATAGCACCTCCCCCTTCACTCTATCTTCCTCCTGCTCCAGCATGTAAGGCATGCCTGCTTCCCCTTCACCTTCTGCCATTATTCTTAAGTTGCCTGAGGTCTCACCAGAAGCAGAAGCCTGTACAGCCCGCAGAACCACGAGCCAATTAAACCTCTTTTCTTTCTAAATTACCCAGTCGTAGGTATGTCTTTATAGCAGCATGAGAACGAACTAATACAGCTAAAAATCTCTATTTTGCCAATGAGGACTTGCTGTTGGTCACAGAGCTGATAAATGACAGAGCCAAATTTAACCTAATGGCAGTCTGACTCCAAAGCCCATACCCTCATGATTCTACGTGCAATTCTTCTCCCTACCTCCCAAATTTCCAGAAAGGCAGAATCAGGTTTAAATGATCCTAGCTACAAAACTGAGAGGATGAGTCTGAAAACATATGTACTGGAAGTTGTGTGTGGGATGGGAGGGAGACAGCCTTGCTCTTTACATGGTATGACAGTCAAAATATGTCTAGACTGTAGAACACTCGGGAAAGACACAGAAATAGGCTTGAACAAATGAAAAGGCACATTGTGCTTCTTTTAGGAAAACTCAACATCATCAAAATGTCAGTTCTCCCTAAATGACTTTATGAATTTAACATAATCCCAATGAAAAAGACAGCCATACCTCGTTTTATTACACTTCACCTTATTGCACTTCTCAGATGCTACATTTTTAACATATTGAAGGTTCGTGGCATTTTTCCAACAGCATGTGCTCACTTCATGCCTCTGTGTCACATTTTAGTAATTCTCATAATATTTCAAAGAATTCTTTATTATTATTATCTGTTATGGTGATCTGTGACCAGTGACCTTTGATGTGACTAATGTAATTGTTTTGGGGCGCCAGGAACCTAGCCCATATAAGACAATGAACTTAATCAATAAATGTTGTGTATGTTCTGACTGCTTCACTGATGGGCCATTTCCCCATCTCTCTCCTTCCTCAGGCCTCCCATTGCCTTGAGACACAACAGTATTGAAATTAGACCAATTAATAACACTACAATGGCCTCTGTGTGTTCAAGTAAAAGGTAGAGTTGCACATCTCCCACTTTAAATCAAAAGCTAGAAATGATTAAGCTTAGTGAGGAAGGCATGTTGAAAGCCAAGACAGGCCGAAAGATAGGCCTCTGGTGCCAAACAGTTACCCAGGTTGCGAATGCAAAGGAAAAGTTCTTGAAGGAAATTAAAAGTGCTACTCCAGTGTACACATGAATGATAAGAATGTAAGCCTTCTTGCTGATCTAGAGAAAGTTTTAGTTGTCTGTGTAGAAGATCAAACCAGCCACAGCATTCCCTTAAGCCAAGGCCTAATCCAGGACAAGGCTCTAACTCTCTTCAATTCTACAAAGGCTGGGCTGGAAGAGGTGAGGAAGCTGAAGAAGAAAAGTTGGACACTAGCAAAAGAGTAGAAGTTGATTCATGAGGTTTAAGGAAAGACGCGGTCTCAATAACATAAAAGTGGAAAGTGAAACAACAAGTGCCAACATACAAACTGCAACAACTTATCCAGGAGATCTAGCCAAAATCATCAACAAAGGTAGCTATACTAAATAACACAATGCAAACGAAACAGATTTCTATTGGAAGAAAACGCCATCTAGGACTTTTACAGCTAGAGAGAAGAAGTCAATGCTTGGCTTAAAAGTTTCAAAAGACAGAATGACTCGCTTGTTAGGGGCTAATACAGCAGGTTGAATTAGTAGGTTGAAGTTGAAGCTCATTTACCATTCCAAAAATCCTAGGGCCCTTAAGAATGATGCTAAATCTCTCAAAATGGAGGTAAAACCACTTCCGGGTCACCCCCAGCCCAACTCCAGCCATTGCAGCAGCCAGGGGGAGGAGGGCCATGATCCGAATGAACCAGAACAGTTGAGAAAACTGTTGATTGGTAGTCTAAGCTGTGAAACTGCAGATTTAAGAGAACATTTTGAGAAATGGTACACACTGACAGATTGTGTGGTAATGAGAGACCTCCAAACCAAACGTTCCAGGGGCTTTCATTTTGTGACTTATTCTTGTGTTGAAGAGGTGGATGCAGCAATGTGTGCTCGACCACACGAGGTTGATGGGCGTTTAGTGGAACCAAAGAGAGCTGTTTCTACAGAGGATTCTGTAAAGCCTGGTCTCTAACAGTGAAGATAATTTTTGTTGGTGGTATTAAAGAAGATACAGAAAAATAGAATTTGAGAGACTGTTTTGAAAAGTATGGCAAGATTGAAACCATAGAAGTTATGGAAGATAGGCAGAATGGAAAAAAGAGAAGATTTGCTTTTGTAACTTTTAATGATCATGATACAGCTGATAAAATTGTTGTTCAGAAATACCACACTAATAATGGGCATAATTGTGAAGTGAAAAAAGCCCTTTCTAAACAAGAGATGCAGTCTGCTGGGTCACAGAGGGGTCATGGACGTGGATCTGGCAATTTTATGCATTGTGGAGGAAACTTTGGAGGTGATGGAGATAATTTTGGCTGTGGTGGAAACTTTGGTAGAAGAGGAGGCTATGGTGGTGGAGGTGGTGGCAGCAGAGGTAGTCATGGAGGAGGTGATGGTGGATATAATGGACTTGGAGGTGATGGTGGCAACTTCCCGCAGTGGTCCTGGTTATAGTAGTAGAGGGGGCTATGGTGGTGGTACACGAGGATATGGAAACCAAGGTGGTGGATATGTTGGCGGTGGTGGAGGATATGATGGTCACAGTGAAGGAGGAAATTTTGGCGGTGGTAACTATAGTGGTGGTGGGAACTATAATGATTTTGGAAATTATAGTGGACAACAACAATCAAATTATGGACCCATGAAAGAGGGCAGTTTTGGTGGAAGAAGCTTGGGCAGTCCCTATGGTGGTGGGACTGGTGTTGGAAGTGGTGGATATGGTAGCAGAAGGTTCTAAAAACAGCAGAAAAGGGCTACAGTTCTTAGCAAGAGAGAGAGTGAGTTGTCAGGAAGGCTGCAGGTTACTTTGAGACAGTCGTCTCAAATGCATTAGAGGAACTGTAAAAATCTGCCACAGAAGGAACGATGATCCATAGTCAGAAAACTTACTGCAGCTTAAACAGGAAACCCTTCTTGTTCAGGACTGTCATAGCCACAGTTTGCACAAAGTGCAGCTATTGATTAATGCAATGTAGTGTCAATTAGATGTATATTCCTGAGGTCTTTTATCTGTTGTAGCTTTGTCTTTGTCTTTTTCTTTTCATTACATCAGGTATATTGCCCTGTAAATTGTGGTAGTGGTACCAGGAATAAAAAGGAATTTTTAACTTTTCAATATTTGTGTAGTTCAGTTTTTCTACATTTTAGTACAGAAACTTTAACAAAATGCAGTTTTGAAGGCGTTTCCTTGTGCGTTAACAAGAAGGTCATTGTTAATTATTATTTTGTATGAATGTTGCTAAAGTTAACTGTAAAGAAACACCTGCTGACTTTCAGTTTAAGGGGAATCTGTTCTCCCCATTTCCAAACCATGACATGAATGGGTGCTGACATGTGGAGAGAACAGATATCTGTGTGTTTGCAATGTATGTTTTAGATAAATAGGATTGGGTATTTAAATCAGCATTTGTGAATTTAATAGCATTAAGATTACCTTCAAATGAAAAAAATCTCAAAATTTCTATTTGGTTTTTGTGTATTTTCTTTTAAAATGTAATCATATGATTTTAGTGTGTTAGACTTGCTGAGTCCTAGCTGTGTTTAGAGCATCTCCATTCTATATTTACCTTGGTCAAATTTGAACTGCTGCCACAGGTTTTGGGTGTAAAGAATGTTTACCGCCCTCCATTTAAATTCTGAAAAGGGATAGTGGATGTTTTCCCTCTCCTGTATTAGAAACCATTCTTAAAGTCTTTTCAAAATATAGAACCATTAAGCCTGCTATATCTGAGCAAATTAGTGGGTACCTTTTTTTCTTTCAGAAAGCACAAGAAGTCCATACATCTTGAGTTATTTTCCTTGGTTTAAATTTTTTATACAAGTTCTCAGAGCAAGAGAATAAAAATCATGCATTATTAAACCCCTAACTGGCTGACATTCTTTCCTGTTTGTACCCTATACATTCTGCTGGATGAAACCAAGGATAGTTTAGGTATAATTGTCCAAAATAACCTAACTGCAGCAGAAATGTAGCACAGTTGCTTAGTACAAGCCTCTCACTTCCTACAGACCTGAATTCAAATTTGGATAATCAGAGTTCTTAAATTCCCAAAGAACATACTGTTACTTATTGTGTATATTTCAACATAAATCATGTTGTTACCAATTTGTTTGGAAGGCCCTAGTTGAGAAGAGTTTTAGATAATAAGGTTTTGATATATATATATCAATGTCTACTGTGTTTGGCGCCAGGTAGTGCTTACAATTTCATTCGAGCCCTGAGTATGTGCCCTGCTGTTATTCTTTCTTTGGCAGTTGAACGTTGAATTCAAGATTTTTATTTTTGTTTTAAGAAGTACTAAGCAAAATAAGCAATAAAAAGGGGAATGAGGCATGCTAGTGTTTGAATATGCTCTCTTGTTGCTCTAATTCTGTGCCTCTGTGCATTAATATTTGGATGCATGCAATGCCAGCGTGGAAATTGGTCTTCACACATAGTGCAGTTTTCCAGAAACACTCATAAACCAATAAATGTAACAGACATTACATTTGTTAATGGGCATATATGTGAAAAGCAGTGTAGAAAATAGGCTAATACTAGAAAATGGTTAAGTCCTTAATAACTTCCAGTGTGGTTATATAATGGACACTGTCAATGTTCGTAACTTAAACCTGGGTACCTGGTCAAAATAATGCTTGGGAAACATTTTATTAAAATTGAGCTAAATTGTCTCAAGTTCTTTTATTCACATAAAGTTTATTAATAAAGTTTATTAATAAAAATAAAGTTTTATTTAAAATAAAGTTTATTAATAAAAATTTATTAATAAATTCATGTAAAGTTTATTTTAAAAGAATGATGCTAAATCTACTCTTCTTGTGCTCTATAAATGGAACAACAAAGCCTAGATGACAGCACATCTGTTTACAGCATGGTTTACTGAATATTTTAAGCCCAATTTTGAGATCTATTACTCAGGAAAAAAAAAAATCCTTTCAAAATATCGCTGTTTATTGACAATGTGCCTGGTCACCCAAGAGTTCTTATGGAGATGTACAAGAAGATTAATGTTGTTTTTACATCTGCTAACACAATATCCATTCTGCAGGCCATGGTTCAAGGAGTAATTTCAAGTCTTAATATTTAAGAAATACTTTTTGTAAGGCTGTAGCTGCCATTGATAGTGATTCCTCTGATGGATCTTAGAAAAGTAAATTGAAAACCTTCTGTAAAGAATTCACCATTCTAAGTACAATTAAGAACATTCCTGACTCCTGAAAGGACAAAATATCAACATTAACAGTATTTTGGAAGAAGGTGATTCCAACCTTTATGGATGATTTTGAGGGTTCAAGACTTCTGTGGAGGAAGTCACTACAGATATGGTGGAAAAAGCCAGAGAACTATATAGAAGGGGAGTCTGGAAATATGACTGAATTGCTGTATTTTCATGATAAAACTTAAAGAGATGAGGAGTTGCTTCTTATGGATGAGCAAAGAAAGTGGTTCCCTGAGATGGAATCTCCTCCTGGTGAAGATTCTGTTAACATTGTTGAAATAACAACAAATGATTTAGAATAGTTCATAAATTTAGTTGATAAAGCAGGGGCAGGGTTTGAGAGGATTGACTCTAATTATGAAAGAAATTCTATTGTGGGTTAAATGTTATCAAACAGCATCGCATGCTACAGAGAAATCTTTCATCAAAGAAGAGTCAATCAATGCAGCAAACTTTAGTATTGTCTTATTTTCAGAAATTGCACAGCTGCCCCAACCTTCATCAACCACCACCCTGATCAGTCAGCAGCCATCTACAATGAGGCGAGACCCTCCACCAGCAAAAAGATTACCACGTGCTGAAGGCTCAGATGGTAGTATTTTTTAGCAATGAAGTATTTTTCTCATTAAGAAATATACATTATTTATTCAGATATAATACAATTGCACACTTAATAGACTATACTGTAGTGTAAACATAACTTTTATATGCACTGAGAAGCCAAAAAATCATGTTACTTCCTTTATTGTGATATTCTCTTTATTGTAGTGGTCTGGAACTGAACTTGCAGTATCTCTGAAGTATGCCTGTATATATCACTTTTTTCTCAGAGCTAGACAAGTTAACTATATATTTTATTTGAAATAACAAGCAATAATATCAATGGAAACAATAAAAAATAACAATGGGGAAGGGAGGCTAGCCCCACCAGATATTAAAACATATCATAAAGCCTTCAGTATGAGCATACAAATTGGTAGATAGATAAATAGAAAAATAAATTAAAATCCAAAAGTATATGACACTGAATATGGAAGTTTAGAATGTTTTAAAGGCAGCATCTCAAATCAGTAGGGAACAAATGGACTGTCTAATGGACATCTGGTTAGTTATGTATAAAAATATAAAACTGGAGTCATTTCTTACACTAAATGCCAGAATTAATTCCAAATGAATCTAAATGTTAAATAAATGAATAAATAAACTACATAAGAATTAGTAGAAAGTATGGGTTACTCTTTTATTGCCTGGAATTGGAGAAAACTTCTTTGACTTAAAAGCCAGACGTGATAAAGGAAAAGGGATACATTGGATCACACATAACAAAGAAACTTTTGCATTGAAAAATAACATAACATAAGCAAAATCAAAAGACAAACATAAATTTTTGTGGAGGTTTCTGGGGAAAGATTTGCAACATAAATCACTTGTAAAGTCTTAATATCTCTAATAGGGAACTGTTAGAAAAGAATATGAAGATTCCTATAGAAAAATGGGCAAATGATACAGTTCACAGAAAAAGAAAAGTAAATGTCTCCTAAACATATGGACAAAATTCCAAATATTTAACAACATGCTCTGTGGTGAGGCTATGGAAAGCCAGACACCCTTATATCTTGCTGTTGGAAATGTAAAGTAGTACAATCCCTAAGGAGGGGAATTTGGACAATATCTAGAAAAATTACATATACTTTTACACATTGACTCAGCAATCCCACTTATAAGAATCCTACCAAAGATACATTAGCAAAGAAGTAAAATGATGTAAGTAAGCATAAGGACATTTATTGCAGCAGTTTTATAATGGCAAAAGACTGGAAACAACTCAATGCCCATCAATAGGCTACTGCTTTAATAAACTATGGTACATGCACAAAATGGTATGATGCTGCCGTAAAAAGAAGTGAGATAGCTCTCAGTACTGTTATACAGAATTACTCTCAGCTGGGGATCATTTTGCCATAGAGTTTTCTCCAAAATATATTGTTAAGTGAAAAAAAGCAAGGGCAGGACGGTGTGTATGCACATGCACAAGGCTTGTGCCTTTTATCTGAGAAAGAAAAAAAATACAAATACTTACATTTTTACATATGCCCACTTATATGAATATATTTTGATTAAATGGAAGGATACTCAAATATAACAAGATGATCACCTGTAGAGCAGTGTTTCTAAATCTCTTTTTTATCATCTTCCTGAAGGAAACATTGAAGTGTTTAAATTCTCTCTAATGACAGAAATTAAACACTAAGAAACAAGATTTCGTTAGGTAATTTTGAGATTTGGAGGGCCACAAACCATTATGACTACTAACATTTTTTCACACAACACCCAAACAAATTTTTACCCCCTTGGGAAGAATATCACCTCCATTGAGGGTGCATACTCTAAGAAAAGGGAGGGAATAGAGTGGAGGGAGCAGAGATGGAAGCGAGACTTCTGCTACGGTCTGAACGTGTCCCTCCAAATCAGAGAAGCTGTCTTAGTTTATTTATGCTGCTATAACAAAATACCTGAGACTGGGTAATTGATAAATAATAGAAATTTATTTCTTACAGTTTGGGAGGCAGGGAAGTTCACGATCAAGGTGCCAGCAGGTTCAGTGTCTGGTGAGGGCTCCTCTTCGCTTCAAAGATGGCACCCTGTTGCTACATCCTCCTGAGGACATCAACGCTGTGTCTTTACATAGCCCCACCCTTAATATTATCACACTGGTAATTAAGTTTCAACATATGAATTTGAAACAATCTCTCTCTCCCCAAAGGCATATATCCTAAGAATAAAAATTACTGCAAGGAAATCCTAAACTACATTCAATAATAATATTGTTAGTAATAATAATATTATTATTTTGAAACTTATATAATAAAAAACAAGTAATTCTTAAGTTGTTAGAAATAAAATGTTTAGTGTAAGAGAAATGAAATGCAAATGGTATATCAAAGGAATTAAATAAAAATCTTTATAATACTAAATTTGATTAGAAACATCAATGAGAACTCATTTAATTTTTTCCCTTTAAAGAAAAACTTACTTCCAAACTCTATTCTCCAGAAAAACCTAGAAGCAATAATAACTCAAAATCAATGAGCACCCCTAGCACACAGATCATGATCTCTATATAACACCTCCCAGTGAAACAAACCAAGACTTCTTAGGAAAATAGCTGACTTCAAGGCTACAAAAGAAAATTGTTTGAGATGATCCTATAACACCTTGTCATACCAGAAAATTTAAAACTGACTAAAGACCACCATCTTGTCAAAGAAACAGGAGCAAACTTTAAGGGGCTCCTATTTCCCACAGGGCAATTTGAGCATTAGAAAAAATAATGATCACAGTGGATTAAAATGCATCAAATATATGTTTTAAAGCCATGAGTTCAGAGTTATACTAAAAGAAAGACTCACTGGACACTAATTCATTTTTCAGAAAAATGGTAAATAATGAGAATGAACCAAATTTATTCTCCCACTCCTGTAGAAATTATTTTATGGTAATCAGATAGTTAAGAAGGAAAAGTTCTTCTATATAGAAAAATTCCAGAAAATAAGTGAAGAAAGAAGATAAAATTAGAAAATCTCTCCTGAAATCCCTAATACAACAACTGATCTGGGCAATGATCATCAGCAGCTGTTAAATCCTTCGGCATAAGTGGGAAACTGGCCAGGCCCAGTGGCTCATGCCTGTAATTCCAGCACTTTGGGAGGCTGAGGCAGGTGGATCACGAGGTCAAGAGTTCAAGACCAGCCTGGCCAAGATGGTGAAACCCTGTCTCTACTAAGCTACAAAAATTAGTCGGGCATGGTGGCAGGCACCTGTAGTCCCAGCTACTTGGGAGACTGAGGCAGAAGAATCGCTTGAACCCGGGCGGCAGAGGTTGCAGTGAGACGAGATTGTGCCACTGCACTCCAACCTGGGTGACAGAGTGAGACTCTGTCTGGAAAAAAAAAAAAAAAGATAAGTGGGAAACTTTGCCATGAATGAATCATGTTGCCAGCGCTTGGACCCATAATCAAAAAGAGGTGCTTATAATGTGATGCAATAAGAAATATCAATGGTGAAATATTTTTGACAAAATATTAAATACAAATGGGATCAAATCCCATTCAGTTGCTCTCAACTGGGGCAATTTTGCCCCCAGGGCACGTTAGGCCATGTCTAAAGGCATTTTTCATTGTCACACTGGAGGCCAGTGCTACTGGCAACTAGTAGACAGAGGCCAGGTTTGCTGCTAAACAACCTAGAACATAGAGCAACCCCCAACAACAAATACTTATCCAGTACAAACTGATAAGAGTGCTGAGGTTGAAAAACCCTGCTCTGGATTTACCAATTTACAGGAAATATAAGGGCCCAAGGTACATATCAACCAAATGCAATCTTGTTTGAGTCCCGAATCAAACTACAGGTGATCCCTGACTTACAATTTTTTGGTGTGCATTGAGTAGAAACCATACTTTGAGTACCCATACAACCACATCCTGTTTTTCACTTTCAGAACAGTACTCAATAAATTACATGAGATATTAAACACCACTATAAAATAGGCTTTGTGTTAAATGATTTTACCCAACTGCAGGCTAATGTAAGTGTTCTAAGCACATTTAAGCACATAGCTAGGCTAAGCTATGATGTTCAGTAGATTAGGTGTATTAAATGCGTTTTTGACTTACAACCTTTTCAACATATGATGGATTTACCAAGACATAACCCTGCTGTAAGTCAAAGAGCATCTGCAATTCTAATTATGATTCAGAGAAATTTGAACACTGACAACATGGAGGAATTGTTCATTTTTAGGTGTATTGATAGTATTATTCTTAGGCTAATAGGAACTCTTATCCCTTGTTAGAAATATACACTGAAGTACTTAGAGATGAAATGGCATTGTATCTAGGATTTACTTTTAAATAATGTATCTGGTGTAAAGAGCAGGGAGGAAAGTGACAGGGGGTTAGAGATAAAGCATTTTGGTCATATACTGATAGTCACTGAACTGAGTGATGGGTATAGCTTCTACTTTTGTGTGTGTTTGAAAACAAACAATTAAAATACAAGAAAAAAAATTTATAACATGTTTTTAACATTATGGATTTTTCATATGTGCACAAAACTTAGATTTGTTTTGGAAACATTTCCTTGAGAACCGGGATGCTGCTGTTCTCAGAAGCAATTCATCTACAAAGCATAATCCTCAAGGTCCTAATTTTCTGCTGAAGCTGGTGAAGGCTTCTCCAATCTGTTCTCAGAAGCAATTCATCCACAAGGCATAATCCTCAAGGTCCTAATTTTCTGGTGAAGAAGCTTCTCCAATTTTTCCACCAAAGCACCCTTAAAGGCACATATTACGGTATCTATACTTTTTTACCCCTACTTTATTAAAGTATAATTGGCAAATAAAAAATGCATATGCTTATGGTATACAAAGTGATGTTTTGATATATGTGTACATTGTGAAATGATTAAATCAAGGTAATTAACCTATCCATTGCCTCACATATTTATCATCCTTGTTGTGGGAAGAATATTTAGTATCTACTCTCGCTGCAAAATAGATTAGCAAAGCTTATTTATCATGCATAAGTACAACTTTTCACCCTTTGACCAACTTATCCCCACTTTATTTTAATATTCTTTAGTATAGATTGTATATGTCAGTTACAGTTACACTCTTGTTACAGGATATTGCCCTGATCATAAATCTACTCTCTAGGGATGATTAGCTAATTTTATTAGAAAGGTCATGCACTAGAAAAGACTAAAAGTTCTTTAGTCATTATTTTCTTCCATCAAAGCTGGAGCTTTTCTAATCAGCATAATGTTAGAAGTGGGTTTTTATTGGTGGAATTTGTGGCTGGTTAATTGATAAAAATTTGGCTTTCATTTGGGAAGTCAGAAATATGTTATGGATGTTCTCCATGCTTACACAAAGAGGTTGTAAGATTCTAGTGAACTCTGGAACCTACATCCTTAGGAATAGAGCCCTAGGCTAGATCCCTAAGAGATGTATGCAGAGTAGTTTAGGATTGTTTTGTGCCTGCTTTCAGACATGCTACTCTACGTGAATAGCAGAATTTGGTCTGGGACTTGCTTTCCTTATAACCTGATACAAGGTTATGAGAGAGTAATTAACCCTCATTACCTCCAATCATTAACAACTCCCAAGATATACCAAAAAGAAGCTAATAGTTGTGCATACTAAACTGGCTTAGACTGGTTCTCAGCAACAGAAAAAAGGAAATGCACTATCCAGTATAGTTGAGTCCTGGCCCACCATAAGAGTAAAGTTATCTTGAAATTACATGCTTCATCTTTAAAATTCATGGCACATTACTCCATTGGTGACTCCCAGTGAATCATGTCTTCAGTATTCAAGCCCTTCCCACATTGACCTTAGGCTGGGGCATGTGACTTCCTTTGCCCAATGGGGTATTAGCAAGTACCATGCAAACAGAAGTTTAGTAAGTACTTTCACAATGAGCTTTGTCTTCCTGGAACGCTCTCTTTCGGTGCCCTGAGCCACCACGTAAAAAGATTCAGCTACCCTAATGGAAAGACTATGTGGAGAGAGAAAGAAATGCCTGGCTAACCACCAGCTCTCGCAGCTCTTGCAGCTGAGGCACCAGACATGTTAGAAAGAAACCATCTCAAACACTCCATCTTAAATACTCTAGCTCCAGTGGTCACCAGGTAGAGCAGCAGAACTACTCCCACTGATCCCAAGCTAAACTGGAGAACTTTAGGAAATAATAGCTTGAGTTTTGGGAAACTAAACCAACTTATCTTGTGGTTTTATATATCCCTGGGAATGCTATTAAACATCTTCCCACCACAACATCATATACAGGAAAGTCCATGTATTGCTCTAATGCTACGGAAAACTTCAGAAGCTGAGGAAAAGTTAAGAGACATGCCTAGGCATGGTGGCTCACACCTGTAATCCTAGCACTTTGGGAGGACAAGGCAGGAGGATCACTTGAGCTCAGGAGTTCGAGACCAGCCTGGGCAACATAGTGAGACCCCACCTCTATTTTAAAAAATAGAAAGAAAAGAGACAGTACGTATAGGGTACAAGTTGCCTCCCAAGTTAGGCTATCCATTATTTAGGAAACATCACAGGTATAAGGAGGAATATAAGAATTTAGAGAGTGGATATGGATTAGGCCAAACCAGAAAAAGTTCCCCCACATGCTCTAAAGATGGTCTGTACTACCTTCTGGACAACTGGATTCCTTCTGTCTTATTTTTATGTCCAGGCAACTTAGGTCTTGGAAGTAGGGCTCCAAGTGAGAGCATTTCGAAATGTGGTCAAGAAGAATGCAATATGCCAGTATTACGATGAATCAGCAAATAAAAGAAATAACCATCTTGGTAAGGAACTCTATGTATATTAAAGCATGCATACCCCCAAAGTCCAACTCTACCTGACAACTCAAGCATACTCCAATCACACGGATACAGAAACTACAGCTGCACCAGTAATTCTTTACCCACCTGCCCAAGAGTCTAAGTCCACCATTAGAAGGTCCACCTTGCTCAGGATCAATTAAGGTTTGACTTAGGGATTGGAGAGACTGAGCCTACATGTTGAAGATATCAGTACCAGTACTGATATATGCTGGAGAAGATAAAGAGTCAACTATCCTGCAGCCTAAGTCCTAGCAGATATTTCAGGAGGAAAGCAACAACAGCAAAAACCATGTGCTACAGTAAGATATTTTCATACTTAAAAAGCAAAATCCAATTAAGAACAAAATACTCTTCGTAATTCAGTTGGAGAGATTATGAATGGTTATTGACATTTCCATCTGCCACAAGAAAGATTAGCCAAAATTTATAAATTAAGACAGGTATTTCTTCTTTGGGTTTTTGAGAGTAGAGTAGATTATTATACGGTATGGTCCAAATCAGTTATTTTCCAGATAAACAGGATATCTGGAATATGCTGTCTATCTTTAGAGAATTAATAAATCTTTTACCCACCTGAGGAACAACTGGATGAAGCAAGTAGATTTGGCTGTAAAAGTATAGGAATGGCGGAGCGCGGTGGCTCACACCTGTAATCCCAGCACTTTGGGAGGCTGAGGTGGGCGGATCACAAGGTTAGGAGATCGAGACCATCCTGGCTAACATGGTGAAACCCGGTCTCTACTAAAAAATACAAAAACTAGCCGGGCGTGGTGGCAGGTGCCTGTAGTCCCAGCTACTCGGGAGGCTGAGGCAGGAGAATGGCGCGAACCTGGGAGGCGGAGCTTGCAGTGAGCCAAGATCGTGCCACTGCACTCCAGCCTGGGCAACAAAGTGAGACTCCGTCCCAAAAAAAAAAAAAAAAAAAAAAAAGTATAGGAATGTGGGACTGTAGGACTAAAGAAATAGATGGAATGTGACCCATGAAAACACAAGGACTTCTAGGGCTGATCATCAATGTCTGCAAAAACAGTAATTATGCAGTATGTCAGAATAGAATGTGGCCTCCCTAACCTCCAAGAACGATGAGTCAGGTAAACAGTCTGTTATAGGCATGCACACCCATAAAGCAAACTTAGCAAGTAAACTCTGCATTACTTTTAATCTGTATTTCTCCAGACTAGAGTCTTTTCTGTCTCACTGAGGAAACTGAACAGATCTTTTTATTATAATTCTAGTAATCAGATTTTCTCTTAGGAAATTCTTGTTACCACTTACTTTCAAAGTATTATATATCTATTAAAGGATACGTTTCTCAGTAGCATCAGACACAAATGGTGGTGAAAGCCATTAAAATGTAATAAAACAGGCCGAGCACAGGGGCTCACACTTGTAAACTCAGAACTTTGGGAGGCTGAGGCAGGCAGATTGTGTGAGCCCAGGAATTCGAAACCAGCCTGGACAACATGGCAAAACCTCATCTCTACAAAAAATACAAAAATTAGCCAGGCGTGGTGGCATGTGCCTGTGGCTCCAGCTACTTAGGAGGCTGAGGTGGGAGGATTACTTAAACCTGGGAGGTTGAGGCTGCAGTGAGACATGATCATGCCACTGCATTGCAGCCTGGGTAACACAGTGAGACCCTGTCTCAAATAAATAAATGAATATAAAATGTAATGAAACAAAAGAATAATATCATTCTTCATACTGCTAAAATTGTACACCAATAAATATACATCACACTAACAGCATATGTACAAGAAAATGCACAGTAATAGAAACATGGGTAACTGACCAAGTAATATTTTATTAAAGTAAATATTAGGCTGGTGCAAAAGTAATTGCAGTTTTTGTTGGTAAATGATAGTTCAAACAGGCAAAATCAGGCAAAGAACATATTCTGATAACATAACTTTGAATATAACGAATATAACTATCTGTATCTAGAAAAGTAATTTAAACAACTGTGGAACTTGAGAAGTAGCATGTTCTCTTATCCTGAGATATTTGAAACATGCATATGGTCTAATTGATGGGTAGATACTGGTACCAATACACAAGAATCAGAACATACAAAAATATAATAATGTCCTGTTCTTTTCCAGTGTTGACACTGTGGTGGATAAATCATTCCCTATAGTCAAAGAGAAAAGATAGAGACCTATTTGAGAGAACTCATCAAGGTCTTGTGAATTCCCAGGGGGTTTGCATTAGCAGGAAAATAGCACGACTTTCACACAATGGAGGTGTCACATGAATAAATATTTACATATCAATAAACAAATGAAATTAGAAGGCAAATAAGACAGAGTAACAGTCTACTCCAAGACTGGCATTGATCCATTTTTTATTTGTCTTAGAGACTCCTCATATTTCTAGTTATATGCCCAAAGAGAACGTTCTATACAATTATTTTCAATTATTCTCTAAAATAAAAATGTAAACCATTATGTGCATTTTTACCATGCAGAAGAGTTATAATGGGTTTAAATGTTCAACTGAATTAGTTTTGATCTTCCTCCAATGAGCTTAGAAACCAAATGAATAAGTAAACAAGCTGTAAACATATACAAGATGCAAGAAATATGCTGAGGAGAGAGATGATGTGTGAACTGGAGAGGTGAAGATAAACCGAGTTGGTTTCATCCATTGTTAAAAAAAATAGCAACAAAAGTCTATGAATCACATTCATTTCCACAGACATGACTAGAAACTAGGAATATGAGCAAGTAGACTCCTCTATCTACTATTATTTTCCAGGATCATTAAAATTAGATTGAATTATTATGGATTTTTTCATGAGGCAGCATTAGACTGCTGCTAGTGCCACCATCTAATAAAATCAGTGATTTGCAACACAGGAATACTTGACGCCAAAAAAGGTGTCTGCTAATTTATCACACCAGCAAGCGCATTATTTCACTTGAGAGAAAACCTTTATGGAATACCAAGGGAGCTCATAAATTAAAACGTACATTTTGTTGTTCCTAATTTTTAACACAATGTAAAAGCTTTTTCTCTATTTTTCTAATTTATTTTTTAGTGTTTGCAGAACCACATGGTTTGTTCATTTGCATGTTTGTGCCACTGTTGTTGGTTGCTTCTGGGAATGGAAAGAATAAGGTCTCAGGCAAGGCCTTGGTGGATCCCACATGGCCTAACGATTTGGCTGATTGCTGTGGTCTAAATACTATCTTTGGGACAAAAGAGACCCAGCATCTTGTACTCACAGACGCTGTTAGTAAATTTTAACATATTGGGGTACAGATCCTTCCAAATCATGTTTAATTTTCCTACAGGCATTTAGCTATGACCACCTTGCTTCAGGCAATGCCTAGCTTAATAACACATGATAAATAATATTAAAAAACATTATTTAATGATAACCTAATTTACCAAAAGCCCCTAAGTTGCCTCTTCTTGAAGTTTTATTACCAAGCCAGATGTGCCTATATAAAACAAACATCTCTAATTTTTTCTCCCTGCTTTAAACTTTAAAATGTTTCAAATTCGCTTTTAGAAATAAATTTACTCCCCCACTTTGGGATACACTCTAGAGGTTCCCATGAATGATTTAAAAACAGTACATATTCTTGTGCTGGACACAGGAAAGTCTCCCATTAGAAGAGTCACTGAAGAGTATTAACAAGAATGATTACTAGAACTATGGGCTGTCTATCTATACCTTTGGCTGCCTACAGATTTGACCACAGAGGAAAAATTCAAAGGTAGAAATTGTAGAAATGTAACTTGAAAGTGTTTTCAGTCTGATCAATCCTTGATTAACACCACTAATAGAAGGGAAAAGAGGTATGGCTACATACAAATAATGTATAATCAAAATTCATTTGCCTATTGATTAAAATTTAAAAATACACTAGGGCTCATAGTTTTTGAGAACAATAATTAATTGTATCTATAATGTGTTCAGAGGGAATAGGGGCTTGGGCATGGGTATGGGATGGAGTAAGTTTTGGATGGATCAGAGTCAAAGGATAGAGCAGATAAGTGAGAACTAAACATTGGCTTGTAAATTAAGAAATAATAGCAAGCTAGATGGGATAAAGCTGGGACTCAGAAAGAGAACAGTGATGAGCCGAAAAGATGGGCCAAATATTTTAAATAAATATTCTAAACTTAGGTAGGAAAAAAATCAGTAGCAGGAAAAAAGCTCCGGGCAAGTACAATGTAATTTAACAGTTGTACATGGTTTTAAAAAATGTTCTCAAAGAGGCGTTAATTACAAACTCAATGAGTCATCGGTGCAATTTGTCAGATTTAAGCAAAAGTATTTTCCTTGATTATGATCCTAAGGTTGCAACTTCCTGAGACCTGAATCCAATCATTGGCCAGTGGTAGGCTTTGGATTTGGGTTTCCATGTGTCCAGACCCCCTCAGTTAGCAAGAAGACTGTCTATGGAAGTTGGGGTTAGAGTAGCCACTCTAACACATTGTTTGCATTTTTCCCACACCCTATCGATCTTTCTCTGGCCTAGCAGGTCATGCTGTCATGGTTATTTATTTAGCTACCAAAAATATGCATTACAGCAAAGTATTTGTCTAATTATCATCTTACTCTTTTAATTCCTTGACTCAGTATAGGCTAAAAATTAGCGGCAAAAACAGCAGAGATCTGCCTAGCCTGCTGGAGATCATAACATCAAAGAGTATGAGAGCAGTACTCTTGCCTGGCTCAGAGTAGGCACAAAATAATAATTGTTAAATATTGAATGAATAACCCAGTGGTCATGCTTCTAATACCACTCAGTGAAGAAAACGGAGAAAAGTCTGTCTTCATGAAGCTTATGTGATAGTAGGAGACAGACACAATACAGATAATCAAGTAAAATACCCAGTCCATTAGGGAATAACAAGCTTTCTAGCAGATACTATCAGTGCCCTTCTCAAATTCCCTTGAGACTCCCCATTCCCATCCACTCTGACCCCCAGGTTCCTACTACAAAATAAAGCAGGGGGCTTTCTCTGACAGCTGGAGGATACATGTCCAAGCACAGAGACTGGAAGAGCTGGGAACTTAAAGCTCCTATCCCCCACATAGCAGCCATTGACCACAGAGTGATGACAGTGGGTAGATAAATGCCCCAGCTTCCTTTTGCCTCACATGTAGCAACTCCAAGACATACTGTGCAGGCTCCCAGAGATCCCCAGCAGGACTGAATCCCAGCTGTCCAGTAACCTGCTTCCTTCCACCCTGAATTGGCTTCCTTCCTTCCCCTGTCTCACCCTCCCATTCCCCTACTGGGCTTCCTGCAATCATATCCCAAATACCACTTGCACTCAAATCTTTGTGAAGAGATCCTTCTTTGAATTTTATTTTATCTTATTTTATTTTAAGTTCAGGAATACATGTGCAGGATGTGCTGGTTTGTTACGTAGGTAAACGTTTGCCACGGTGGTTTGCTGCACCTATCAACCCATCACCTAGGTATTAAGCCCAGCATGCATTAGCTATAATATTTTTCCTGATGCCACCCTTCCCCATGCCCCTCCACCACATGACCCAGTGTGTGGAAGATAGGTCACACTGTCTTCCACAGTGGCTGAACTAATTTAGATTCCCACCAACAATGTAAAAGCAGTCCTTTTTCTTCACAACCTCACCAGCATCTGGGTTTTTTGTTTGTTTGTTTTTTGTTTTTTGTTTTGAGATGAAGTCTCACTCACTCTGTTGCCCAGGCTGGAGTGCAGTGGCATGATCTCAGCTCACAGCAACCTCCGCCTCCTGGGTTCAAGCAATTCTCCTGCCTCAGCCTCCCTAGTAGCTGTGATTACAGGCACCCACCACCAGACCCGGCTAATTTTTATTTTATTTTATTTTTATGTATTTATTGTATTTTAGTAGAGACGGGGTTTCGCCAGGCTGGTCTCGAACTACTGGCCTCAGATGATCTACCCACCTTGACCTCCCAAAGTGCTGGGATTACAGGTGTGAGCTACTGTGCCCGGCCCACATCTGTTTTTTTTTTTTTTTACTTTTTAATAATTGCCACTCTGACTGGTGTGACATGGTCTCTCATTGTAGTTTTGATTTTCATTTCTCTAATGATCAGTGATGTTGAGCTTTTTTTCATGTTTTTTGGCCGCATAAATGACTTCTTTTGAGAAATGTCTGTTCATGTCCTTTGCCAACTTTTTAGTGGGTTTTTTTCTTGTAAATTTGTTTAAGTTCCTTGTAGATTCTGGATATTAGACCTTTGTCAGATGGATAGATTGCAAAAATTTTCTCCCAAATAGCTAATGTAGATGACAGGTTGATGGGTGCAGTGAACCACCATGGCACGTGTATATCTATATAACAAACCTGCATGTTCTGCACATGTATCCCAGAACTTAAAGTGTAATTTTAAAAAAATTATCTCATTCTGTAGGTTGTCTGTTCACTCTGATGATAGTTTCTTTTGCTGTGCAGAAGAGATCCTTTTTCTGGAGATGACAAGTATTAAGGAAAAACGTAATTCAGGGAAAGAAGAAATGAAATATTGCATCATGTGAGATTTCACATTGGGTGATCAAGAAGGGTTTCACCAAGGCGATTTAGGAAAAAACACTTGAATGAAATAAGGAATGAATTATAGTTCCAAAATAGGGTCATTGCCAAGCCTATCACACCACGTTACAACCAGAGACACAGTGAAGCTCTTGCTAAGGTTAGTGGGGGCTTTTTTCTTCTCTCTAGTGTTTGAAAATAAAATGTTCATCCCTAGTAATTTGGTGAGGTTTGGATTTTCACTGCCAGAAGCAAAACATTGATTTTCCTTCACAGCATTTTGATATAAATGTATGTGAAGCCCTTAGGGCATCTTGCCCTCTTATTCTTATTATAAGATGTCTCGTCAACTGTCTCAGTTCAAGGCCGCAAAACTGACTCAATACTGAGACGTTCTCTCTCAGAGGAATTCTCAACAAAATTTCATGAGTGCCCATATGAACATGGTGAAGATTCATGTCGCTTTCACTTAGAGTCTCCAAAGAATAAAATGTCACTCCTTCTATTCACCCTAAGCTTACTGACTGACACAAACACGGACACTGTGTGTGTGGCAGCCTGCAATATATGCATTAAATATGTATATATAGAAAGACAACAATTTAACAGAATCACTGACTTCTAAAATGAGAAGTTACCTCAATAGTTAAATCTCTTAATCAGGACTGGAATCCCTGCTCCACCATGCCTCATTGGGGGTCACCCAGGTCCTGCCCAAATACTTCCTCTATTAAAGGGTGCTCATTCCAAACAAGTCAACCTATTCCATTTTTTAACAGCTGGTAAAAACTATTATTTATATTGATTGAAATGTGCTTCCTTAATCCCTTATTATTCCTTCTGAAACTAAAAAAACAAAATTAAATCCCTCTCCTGCATAGCAAATAGGATAAATATAATCTTGGTATGAAAGTATTCAACACTCTGTTTTGACATGGGTTCCAGATTCCCCACCATCCAGTAGCCTTCCTTCTGACACACAGTTGTCATCACTGCCCTTGTAAAAGGCTGGCACTTAGAAGTAAGCACTGTACCTGCATTGGTCTAATTTATTTATTGATCAGACCAAGGACTCTATTTCCCTTGATCTAAACCAGGAGTTCTGAGTCTGTCCTGTTTTTTCCTGGTTTTCCCTCAAGTTTCCTTTGTTCACCTGTTAGACGGTAGTGCTCCCAGGGGTTCTGCTGTCAGCCCTCAAATAGCCTCAGTAGTACGTATGCTTTCTCAAGATAGGTCCATCACAATTCATGGGCTCAAAAGCTATCTGTAAGCTGGCTTTCATGACTCCCAAAACCATATCTCTAGCCCTCACCCCTAAACTTACCTAAGTCAAATGCTGAATGAACAGTTCAACTAGATATCCCACAGAACTCATGCTCGACATGCCCCAAACCAATCTCAATATTTTACCCTATAAACTAGATCTTCTGTCTGCATTCCCTACTCTGGATACCAGCTCTATTTCCTCCCTAGCCAGAAATTACCAAAATATATCTCAAACCTTTCAATTCATATCTACCTCCTTTGCTGCCACACTAGTACCACCCTGGTCCAAACTATCAACATCTCTTTTCTGCACAACCCTATGGTTTCTTAATTGATTTCCCTACTCTTCTCCTTCTCCCTACTCCAATAAAATCCCAATTTATTCTTCAAATAGCAGTCAGAGCAACCTTTCTAAAATGCAAGTATGATCATGTCACTCCTCTGCTTAAAAACCCTTTGATGGCAGAAGTATGCCATGTAAATGGGGCTGTGGCGGGAAGAGATGTTGGAGAGGCAAATGTTGGACACATCAAAAGTGATGCTAAAAAATAAAAATGAATAAATACAATTTTTAAGTGATGCTAAGGAGAATTATGTCCTCATATGCACAATTCCTGGGTCTCACTATGCAGATCTTAAAAATGGGTGACAGTGAGAAATCAGAAAATCCTATATTGGCTTGACTGATTTGTATAGGAAAGGGCCAAAATTTACTCTAGGAAAATAGATCCAGAAGGTAAGAGAGTAGGGACAAGAAAATAAAGGCCAGGCCAGGCGCGGTGGCTCACGCCTATAATCCTAGCACTTTGGGAGGCTGAGGCAGGCAGATTATCAGGTCAAGAGATCGAGATCATCTTGCCCAACATGGTGAAACCCCGTCTCTACTAAAAATACAAAAAAATTAGCTGGACGTGGTGGCACGCACCTGTAGTCCCAGCTACTCAGGAGGCTGAGGCAAGAGAATCACTTGAACCCAGGAGGCAGAGGTAGCAGTGAGCTGAGATCGCGTCACTGCACTTCAGCCTGGTGACAGAGCAAGACTCCATCTCAAAAAAAAGAAAGAAAGAAAGAAAAAGAAAGAAAAGAAAAGAAAGGCCAGTAAGTTCTGCTTTTGAAGTTCCAAAGAATTTGGGGAGAGTAAGAGTAATTAGAGTCATCTACCACACCCTGATACATGAGACTTTAGCAAGATAGACAGGTAGAAGGCTTTTAGAAGTTTTGCAGTGTGTTATAAATGTCATCTCCATTTGGCATTATCGAAGAGATTATAGTAAAAACTTTAATTGCTTTGCAATTGTTTTTAGATGTTAGACTGGTACTTCTGTGGCTAGAACAATGAACAGAGAAAGGCCCTATTGTTAGAACAAAGAAGCCCAGTGCCACTGGAATTAAATACATAATAGAGTCAGATATTCTACCTGCGAAATCTGTCTAGTATTTAGAATGGTATTAAATACATCCATGCTTTAAGGTGCCATATCTAAAGTATTATGACTTCCACATGCTCTGTTCTACTCTACCCTCAACTCCCAACCAAGCATGAAAACCACTGATCTTGACTTGATAATATTATTAAAGTACAAAACACATACCTATCTGATTGCAAGCTTATAATATGCTACAACACAAATATCACAGATCTCTCACTGTAAAAGTTTATTTGTAGCATATCATAGCCCCACTATAGATATTTTACCCTTGGAGTGCAACCCAGCTATTCTTACTGGGCCTACTTAGAGATCATTTAAGTGCCACCTTTATTATCACACCTAACAAGCCTTTCCACTGGCAAATTGCCTCTATCATAATAGCTTCCACTTTCAGATGAGAAGGACTCAACAGGTCTTCCTGAAACTGATGATGTGCCTGGACTAATATTTTTGTAAAAACAAAAGTGGCATGGGAAATTAGAGAAGGCAGGAAGGAGTCTATCAGTGAGAATGCATCTTCTACCAACAGGTTTTCTTCTTAGACATTGTGTTGAAATGAGGCACTACCAGAGAGAAGAACCACTTGATTTGTATTCCACAACCTGTAGGTGACCATGGCAGGTATTCTGGACCCAGGCATGAGGATTTAGATCAGATTGCATACAGAGGATCCATTCTAGCAGGCATGGCCTATGGAGGCGTGCTCTAGGCTTATAAACCAGAGAACTTTGAAGAGCATGACTACAAATGGTGAAATTTTAAAATATATCTGGACCAGAGGAGAGCATCTCTATAGCTCTCTTATTAGATCAAATAGTCCAAGGGATCTTGAAACAGACCCTGTGGGTGGTCCTCTGGCTAAGGAATCACTTGGGTTTAAAGTGGACCTCCTTTCTCTGTCAAGAGAGATAATCTTTGCTGAGGTAAATCACCCTTAAGTTGGCATGAACAATTAAATAAATTTATTAGCTCACAGCTCTAACAGCATTGGTCAGATATGGTCTGGTCAGGGTTCTGGCTCATTTCTCTTTCTTCTTTTTCCATATGTCTTCTTCAAGTTGGCCATAGTAGTTTCAGGCCTAACATCATAAACATGTCCAGAGGAAGAGTAAGCATCTCTCCTGGAGGCCCTCTCTTAAAGAAACCACTCTATCCAAGATCCCCAGCAGGCATCTGTTATTGTGACACATGTCTATTCCAGAATCAATCACTGTGGCAGTAGACAGAATTATGTTGATGCCATTCAGGGATTCCCAGGAAACAGGGATGTGCTCAGCTTCCCCTAGTGCCCATGGACTGTTGTGACAAAATTGGATTCTTGTATTAAAAGGAGGGTGCTCTGGGGAAAGGGGAGAAGACTAATGATAGCCTTTGCATTTCCTGGGGTAGCTTTGTGCTACCTGGCTGTGTCCTTTTCTCTGTCCACTCTCTTGGGGTCCAGGAAGGATAACAATAGTCAGATCAACAGTCCAGAGAAGTCTTGGGTTCTGATGTGGGTTTTAGCCAAGGCAGTGGGCTTGCCTTGTGCAATTTATATAGAACTGAAAACCACTGACCCATTTCATTTATGTGCCTAATTGTCAGTTCTACATTCTGCACAGGCCTTTAACAGCTCTGTGCTCAATCTCTTTGAAATTGAGAGTATAGAGTAATACCAATAAGGAAGTCATATCTTTACACCACCTATCTTCATTCTTCATTGTCTTTAAACAGGAATATTCAACTATTTAATATGATGATCATTTCCAGCCTTTGATAATTTTTCCATTTTCTCTCTTTTTCAAAGCTTTTAAATTGTAATAAAGCTTTAAAGACTGAGCTACCAATAGTTTCATTTGTCTATCTTTCAACTATAATGAATACAGATGGGCAGAGAGGGAAAGAAATCCAGGATTTGGTCTGATCCTATAATCTTTCTCATTTGTTTGTGAAAGGTTGAATAATTCCAGATGAATACCTTAACAATGCCAGTGTTTTCTCATCCCAGTGATTTATTTTCCCATCGACACTAAAGAAATATTTAATATAATGTGCATATATAAACTATAAAATGATAATAACCCCCATATGAAAAGTTGTAAGTAACAAACATAATCAGAAGTAATGTGTAGGATTTTATGCATATATACACATCACTAAATACAGAACCATTTTCTAGAAAATAGGCGACAAACCTCACTAAATAAAAAAATACTGTGAGCACATTTTCTGCCCCATAGAATATGAAATCATCTTGTTTTTCTTTCTAACCATAGCTGTCCAAATATTATGGGTGACATACCCATATGTGATAAGCTGTGACATTAAAATTCTTCCATTGAAACCCACTTTGAACATTTCACTTTACTTCCCTCCATTTTACTCAGTCATTTTCAGTCTAGTTATGTAACATGAAAAGAAATTTATTTTGGCTCGCTCATATCTCTGCAGAATTGTTGCTTCCTACATAAATTTTACACTATTTTCCCAGTCCAAAAAAATGTCAAACCCCAAGTGTTCTAGGTTCAAGGGAGGAGGAAGAATGACTAAATCAGTTCAATTTTCCTTGGTTTGGTGGTACATTGCGGTGCAATGCTTAACTAGGACAATGCAACGAATAAGGGGGATGATATATTAATATGGCATACATGATGATAAGTAATGGTATAATCCACAGTGAGCTCTGTCTACTAAATGAGAGAAACTGCATGAAGGTGACAAAACATTTACAATGATGGAGCATAAATAAGCTCTTGGAGAAAATTTTCTGAGTGGTGAGTAGTTTTGTAGGAAACTTGTTTATTTCTTATTGACTTTCATCTATCTCTTTCTGAAAGAGTCTATTATTCCAATTCCACCTTGTTGTCAACACTCTGACATTCAGGAGAATATTATTTCCTCTTTAATATTCTGGCTCAAATGTGAACAAAACCAAAATCCACTTCATTTGTCCCCAGACCATAAAAGTTAATTTCTAAGTTGGATTAAAAGACATAAGAAACCTAAAAAGATGTAAACTTATGAAGTATAGTTTCCTGATCCCAGCTGACTTACGTAGTTGGTTCAGAAGCCCTGTTTTATTTAAAATCCTATCTCAGATGTGCTAAAAGACTAAGGAAAGGACTTGATTTACTCACACTGTGCCAAAAATAAATGCCCCATTTAAAAAAAAAAAAGACTAAGGAAAGAAATTCAGGGTGATTTTGCCTATAATTGGGGCAAGTTTAAAATAAGAGAACTTGTGACATAAGGAGATAGTTCAATTGTAAAAAGTAATTATTTTATAAATTGGCATATATTTTTATTCAATCTCAAGCATATTTAAATAAATATTCTCATCATAATTTAAAGCAGTCATTATGTTTACTCCAGAAATTCTTGAGTACCAAGAATATAGTCCTTTGAGAATTAAAGGCATAGGAAAGAGTGTTCATTAATGCATACAGTGATTAGACCAAACATGTTGTTGAAAACTACTTGAAAAACTGAATAAATATTTTTAAAAATCTGTTTGAGGGTATCAGAGAGATAGTAAAGCATTGAAGAATTGCATAGCCATCATACAGAATAAGGAAACCCAAGAAGTGAGCCGGGACATCTGAGCCGCTTGTCTACCGAAGAACTCTGCCAGTGTTCCAGGAGAAACAGCTGAGAGGCTCAGAAGCTCATCAGAGGTCTCAACAGACTAACAGGGCTATGATGACAAAAACTGGAATTCAGGGTCCACTGGGAAGTGGGTAGCAGCTGACAAATCTTCTGGCATTGGGTTGAGATCCTGAGGACCTACCCACTATGAGTGTAAGAATAAACTAAAAACAAATCAGCAGAGGTTGAAACTCAACTTCTTATCATTTCAAATGATGATTTGATTAAGAAGATCTGGGATTGCTAGTGTATCTAGCCTACATAAATGCAAATATAAATTTTCCTTGAGAGGGAGATAACATCTAGAGCCACAAATTATCTCTAGTTTTTCATAATCTTTAGCACTCAGTCAAAATTACCAAGAAACATTAGAAGACAAGACAATGTGACTGAAGACAAAAGTAAACAACTAGAGATAAAGAAATGTGTTCTCATCATTTAGCTTTTACTTATAAGTGAGAACATGTGGTATTTGGTTTTCTGTTCCTGTGTTTGCTAAGTTTGCTAAGAATAATGGCCTCCTGCATCAACAAAAAGGACACCCACGCAAAAACCACATCAAAAGGTAATCAGCATCAAAGATCAAAGGTAGATAAATCCATAAAGATGAGGAAAAACCAGCACAAAAATGCTGAAAATTCCAAAAACCAGAATGCCTCTTCTCCTCCAACAGGATCACAACTCCTCGCCAGCAAGGGAACAAAACTGGATGGGGAATGAGTTTGATGAAATGAAAGAATTAGACTTCAGAAGGTGGGTAATAACGAACACCTCCAAGCTAAGGAAGCATGTTCTAACCCAATGCAAGGAAGCTAAGAGCCTTGAAAAAAGGTTAGACAAATTGCTATCTAGAATAACCACTTTAGAGAAGAACATAAATAACCTGATGGAGCTGAAAAACACAGCACAAGAACTTCGTGAAGCACACACAAGTATCAAAAGCTGAACTGATCAAGTGGCAGAAAGAATATCAGAGATGAATATCAACTTAATGAAATAAAGCATGAAGACAAGATTAGAGAAAAAAGAATGAAAAGGAACAATCAAAGCCTCCAATAAATATGGGACTATGTGAAAAGATCAAACCTACAATTGACTGGTATACCTGAAAGTGACGAGGAGAATGGAACCAAGTTGGAAAACACACTTCAGGATATTATCTGGGAGAACTTCCCCAACCTAGAAAGACAGGACAACATTCAAATTCAGGATATACAGAGAACACCACTAAGATTCTCCTCAAGAAGAGCAACCCCAAGACACATAATCATCAGATTCACCAAAGTCAAAACTAAGGAAAAAATGTTAAGGGCAGCCAGAGAGAAAGGTCAGGTTACCTACAAAGGGAAGCCCATCAGACTAACAGAGAATCTCTCTGCAGAAACTCTATAATCCAGAAGAGAGTGGGAATCAATATTAAACATTCTTAAAAAAAAAAAAGAATTTTCAACCCAGAATTTCATATCCAGCCAAACTAAGCTTCATAAGTGAAGAAGAAATAAAATCCTTTACAGACAAGCAAGTGCTGAGGGATTTTGTTACCACCAGACCTGCCTTACAAGAGCTCCTGAAGGAAGCATTAAATATGGAAAGGAAAAACCAGTACCAGCCACTGCAAAAACATGCCAAATTGTAAAGAACATCAATGCTATGAAGAAACTGCATCAATTAATGGGCAAAATAACCTGCTACCATCCTGATAACAGGATCAAATTCACATATAACAATATGAACTGTAAATGTAAATGGGCTAAATGCCCCCATTAATAGACACATACTGGCAAACTGGATAAAGAGTCAAGACCCATTGGTGTGCTGTATTCAAGAGACCCAACTCATGTGTGTGTCTTTACACACATAGGCTCAAAATAAAGGGATGGAGGAATACTTACCAAGCAAATGGAAAGCAAAAAAAAAAAAAGCAGGGGTTGCAATCCTAGTCTCTGATAAAAGAGACCTTAAACCAACAAAGATCAAAAGAGACAAAGAAGGCCATTACATAATGGTAGAGGGATCAATGCAGCAAGAAGAGGTAACTATCCTAAATATATATGCACCCAATATAGGAGCACCCAGATTCATAAAGCAAGTTCTTAGAGACCTACAAAGAGACTTAGACTCCCGCACAATAGTAGTGGGAGACTTTAACATCCCTCTGTCAATATTAGACAGATTAATGAGACAGAAAATCAACAAGGTTATTCAGGACTTGAAATCAGCTCCAGACCAAGCAGACCTAATAGACATCTACAGAACTCTCCACCACAAATCAACAGAGTGTACGTTCTTCTCAGCACTACATTGCACTTATTCTAAAGTTGACCACATAATTGGAAGTAAAACACTCCTCAGCAAATGCAAAAAGAACAGAAATCATAACAAACAGTCTCTCAGACCCCTGTGCAATCAAATTAGAACTCAGGACTAAGAAACTCACTCAAAATTGCACAACTACATGGAAACTGAACAAACTGCTCTTAAGTGTCTACTGGGTAAATAAAGAAATGAAGGCAGAAATAAAGATGTTCTTTGAAACCTATGAGAACAAACATACAACTTACCAGAATCTCTGGGACACAGCTAAAGCAGTGCGTACAGGGAAATTTATAGCACTAAATGCCCATAGGAGAAAGTGGGAATGATCTAAAATCGACACCCTAACATCACAATAAAAAGAATTAGAGAAGCAAGAGCAAACAAATTCAAAAGCTAGCAGAAGACAAGAAATAACTAAGGTCAGAACAGAACTGAAGGAGATAGAGATAAGAAAGACCCTTCAATAAATCAATGAATCCAGGAGCTGATTTTTTTAAAAGATTAACAAAATAGACCGCTAGCCAGACTAATAAAGAAGAAAAGAGAGAAGAATCCAATAGACACAATAAGAAATGATAAAGGGGATATCACCACTGATCCCACAGAAATACAAACTACCATCAGAGAATACTATAAACACCTCTATGCAAATAAACTAGACAATCTAGAAGAAATGGATAAATTCCTGTACACATACACCATCCAAAGACTAAACCAGGAAGAAGTCAAATCCCTGAATAGACCAATAACAAGTTCTAAAATTGAGGCAGTAATAAATAGCCTACCAACAAAAAAAGCCCAGGACCAGACGGATTCACAGCCAAATTCTACTAGAGGTATAAAGAGGAGCTGGTATCATTTCTTCTGAAACTATTCCAAACAATAGAAAAAGAGGGACTCCTCCCCAACTCACTTTATGAAGCCAGCATCATCCTGATACCAAAACCTGGCAGAGGCAAAACAAAGAAAGAAAATTTCAGGCCAATATCCCTGATGAACATCATTGTGAAAATCCTCAATAAAATACTGGCAAATCAAATCCAGCAGTACATCAAAAAGCTTAACTACTACGATCAAGTCAGCTTCATCCCTGGGATGCCAGGCTGGTTCAACACATGCATATCAATAAATGTAATCCATCACATAAACAGAACCAGTGACAAAAAACACATGATTATTTCAATAGATGCAGAAAAGGCCCTTGATAAAATTCAACACCCCTTCATGATAAAAACATTCAATAAACTAGGTATCAATGGAACATATCTCAAAATAATTAGAGCTATTTATGACAAACCCATAGCCAATATCATACTGAATGGGCAAAAGCTGGAAGCATTCCCTTTGAAAACTGGCACAAGACAAGGATGCCCTCTCTCACCACTCCTATTCAACATTGTATTGGAAGTTCTGGCAAGGGCAATCAGACAAGAGAAAGAAATAAAGGGTATTCAAATAGAAAGAAAGGAAGTCAAATGGTCTCTCTTTGCAGGTGACATGACTGCATATTTAGAAAACCCCATCGTCTCAGCCCAAAAACTCCTTAAGCTGATAAGCAACTTCAGCAAAGTCTCAGGACACAAAATCAATGTGCAAAAATCACAAGCATTCTTATACACCAATAACAGACTATCAGAGAGCCAAATCATGAGTGAACTCCCATTCACAATTGCTACTAAGAGAGTAAAATACCTAGGAATACAACTTACAAGGGATGTGAAAGACCTCTTCAAGGAGAACTACAAAGCACTGCTCAAAGAAATAAGAGAGGACACAAACAAATGGAAAAACATTCCATGCTCATGAATAGAAGGAATCAATATCATGAAAATGGCCATACTGCCCAAAGTAATTTATAGATTCAATGCTATCCCCATCAAGCTACCACTGACTTTTTTCACAGAATTAGAAAAACTACTTTAAATTTCATATGGAATCAAAAAGAAGCCTGTATAGCCAAGATAATCCTAAGCAAAAAGAACAAAGCTGGAACCATCACACTACCAGACTTCAAACTATACTGCAAGGCTACAGTAACCAATACAGCATGATACTGGTACCAAAACAGATATATAGATCAATGGAACAGAACAGAGGCTTTAGAAATACCACCACACATCTACAACCATCTGATCTTTGACAAACCTGACACAAGCAATCAAGAAAGGCTTCCCTATTTAATAAATGGTGCTGGGAAAACTGGCTAGCCATATGCAGAAAACTGAAACTAGACCCCATCCTTTCATTTTATACAAAAATTAACTCAAGATGGATTAAAGACTTAAACGTAAGACCTACAACCATAAAAAATCCTAGAAGAAAACCTAGGCAATACCATTCAGGACATAGGCATGGGCAAAGACTTCATGACTAAAACATCAAAAGCAATGGCAACAAAAGCCAAAATTGACAAATGGGATCTGATTAAACTAAAGAGCTTCTGCACAGCAAAAGAAACTATCATCAGAGTATACAGGCAACATACAGGATGGGAGAAAAATTTCACAATCTATCCATCTGACAAAGGACTAACATCCAGAATCTACAAGGAACTTAAACAAATTTACAAGAAAAAAGCTAACAACCCCATCAAAAATTGGGCAAAGGATATGAACAGACACTTCTCAAAAGAAGACATTTATCCAGCCAATAAACATATAAAAAAAGCTCATCATTAGTGGACATTAGAGAAATGCAAATCAAAACTACAATGAGATACCATCTCACACCAGTTAAAATGGCGATCATTAAAAAGTCAGGAAACAACAGATGCTGGGAGAAGGTGGAGAAATAGGAACACTTTTACACCGTTGGTGGGAGTGTAAATTAGTTTAACCATTGCAGCAGACAATGCGACAATTCCTCAAGGATCTAGAACCAGAAATACCATTTGACCCAGCAATCCCATTACTGGGTATATATCCAAAGGATTATAAATCATTCTACTGTAAAGACACATGTATACATATGTTTATAGCAGCACCATTTACAATAGCAAAGACTTGGAACCAACCCAAATGCCCATCAATGATAGACTGAATGAAGAAAATGTGGCACATATACACCATGGAAAACTATGCAGCCATAAAAAATGATGAATTTATGTCCTTTGCAGGGACATGAAGCTGGAAACCATGATTCTCAGCAAACAGCAAACCAACACAGGAACAGAAAACCAAACACCACATGTTCTCACTCATAAATGGGAGTTGAACAATGAGAACACATTGACACAGGGAGAGGAACATTACACAATGGGGCTAGTCAGGGGGTGGTGGCAAGGGGAGAGATAGCATTAGGAGAAATACCTAATGCATACGGAGCTTAAAACCTAGATGACGGGTTGGTGGGTGCAGCAAACCACCATGGCACATGTATACCTATGTAACAGACCTGCACGTTCTGCACATGTATCCCAAAACTTAAAGTATAATAATAAAAAAATTAAAGAAAATTAAAATACAAAAAAAAAAGAGCAGGCTGGGTGTGTTGGTTCATGCCTGTGATTCTAGGACTTTGGGAAGCTAAGGCAGGTGGATCACTTGAGGCTAAGAGTTCAAGACCAGCCTGGCCAAGATAGAGAAACACTGTCTCTACTAAAAATACAAAAAATTAGCTGGGCATAGTGGCACATGCCTATAATACCAGCTACTCAGGAGGCTGAGGACAAGAATTGCTTGTACCCAAGGGGCAGAAGTTGCAGTGAGCGGAGATCATGCCACTGCACACTCCAGCCTCAGTGACAGAGCAACCTCTGTCTCAAAAAAAAAAAAAAAAAGGTTGTGGAGGAACAAACCCTCCACAAAGGTTGGGATTATGTTAAATGACCAAACCTAAGAATAACTGCTATTCCCAAAGAAGAGATCTAAAAGTTTGGAAAACTTATTTGAGGAATAATCAAGGAAAACTTCCCTGGCCCTGCTAGAGATCTAGACATCCAAATACAAGAAGCGTAAAGAACACCTGGGAAATTCATTGCAAAAAATGACTACCTGGGCACATAGTCATCAGGTTATCTAAAGCCAGACAAAGGAAAGACTCTTAAGAGCTGTAAGGCAAAAGCATCAGGTAACATATAAAGGAAAAACCTATCAGATTAATAGCAGATTTTTCAGCAGAAACCATACAAGCTAGAAGGGATTGGGATTTTTTCATTAGCCTTTATAAACAAAAGAATTATCTGCCAAGAATTTGTATCCAGTGAAACTAAACTTCATAAATGAAGGAAAGATACAGTCTTTTTCAGACAAACAAATGCTGAGAGGATTTGCCACTACCAAGTCAGTAGTACAAGAACTGCTAAAAGGAGTTCTAAATCTTGAAACAAACCCTCAAAATACACCAAAATAGAACCTCCTTAAAGCATAAATCTCACAGGGCCTATAAAACGATAACACAATGAAAAAAAAACCCAAGGTATTCAGGCAAAAACTAGCATGATGAATAGAATAGTATGTCACATCTCAATACCAACATTGAATGTAAATAACCTGAATGCTCCACTTAAAAGATACAGAATGGCAGAATGGATAAGAATTCACCAACCAACAATCTGTTGTCTTCAAGAGACTCACCTAACACATAAGGACTCACAAAAACTTAAGGTAAAGGGGTAGAAAAAGACATTCCATGCAAATGGACACCAAAAGTGACCAGGAGTAGCTATTCTTACATCAGACAAAACAACAGCTTTAACTGCTGTTTAAAGCAACAGCAGTTAAAAAAGCCAAAGAGGGACATTATATAATGATAAAAGGTGTTGTCCAACATGTAAATATCACAGTCCTAAATACATATGCACATAACGCTGGAGCTCCCAAATTTATAAAACAATTACTACTAGACCTAACAAATGAGATAGACAGCAACATGATAATAGTGGGGGACTTTGATATTCCACTGACAGCACTACACAGGTCATCAAGACAAAAAGTTAACAAAGAAACAATGGATTTAAACTATATCCTGGAACAAATGGACTTAACAGATGTTTACAGAACATTCTAACCAACCAATGCAGAATATACATTCTATTCAACAGCACGTGGAAGTTTCTCCAAGATAGACCATATGATAGGCCACAAAACAAGTCTCAACAAGTTGAAATTACACCAAGTACTCTCTCAGACCACAGTGGAATAAAACTGCAAATCAACTCTAAAAGGAACCTTCAAGAACATGCAAATACATAGAAATTAAGTAACCTGCTCCTGAATAATCATTGGGTCAACAATGAAATCAAGATTGGAAATTTAAAAATTCTTTCAATTGAATAATAACAGTGACACAGCCAAGATAATCCTAAGCAAAAAGAACAAAGCTGGAACAATCACACTACCTGACTTCAAACTATACTACAAGGCTACAGTAACCAAAACAGCACGGTACTGGTACCAAAACAGAGATATAGACCAATGGAACAGAACAGAGCCCTCAGAAATAATACCACACATCTACAACCATCTGATCTTTGACAAACCTGACAAAAACAAGAAATGGGGAAAGGATTCCTTATTTAATAAATGGTGCTGGGAAAACTGGCTAGCCATATGTAGAAAGCTGAAACTGGATCCCTTCCTTACACCTTATACAAAAATTAATTCAAGATGGATTAAAGTCTTAAATGTTAGACCTAAAACAATAAAAACCCTAGAAGAAAACCTAGACAATACCATTCAGGACATAGGCATGGGCAAGGACTTCATGTCTAAAACACCAAAAGCAATGGCAACAAAAGCCAAAATTGACAAATGGGATCTCACTAAACTGAAGAGCTTCTGCACAGCAAAAGAAACTACCATCAGAGTGAACAGGCAACCTACAGAATGGGAGAAAATTTTTGCAATCTACTCATCTGACAAAGGGCTAATATCCAGAATCTACAAAGAACTCAAACAAATTTACAAGAAAAAATCAAACAACCCCATCAAAAAGTGGGCAAAGGACATGAACAGACACTTCTCAAAAGAAGACATTTATGCAGCCAACAGACAGATGAAAAAATGCTCATCATCACTGGCCATCAGAGAAATGCAAATCAAAACCAAATGAGATACCATCTCACACCAGTTAGAATGGCGATCATTAAAAAGGAAACAACAGGTGCTGGAGAGGATGTGGAGAAATAGCAACACTTTTACACTGCTGGTGGGACTGTAAACTAGTTCAGCCATTGTGGAAGACAGTGTGGGGATTCCTCAAGGATCTAGAACTAGAAATACCATTTGACCCAGCCATCCCATTACTGGGTATATACCCAAAGGATTATAAATCATGCTACTATAAAGACACATGCACATGTATGTTTATTGTGGCATTATTCACAATAGCAAAGACTTGGAACCAACCCAAATGTCCAACAATGATAGACTGGATTAAGAAAATGTGGCACATGTACACCATGGAATACTATGCAGCCATAAAAAACGATGAGTTCATGTCCTTTTCAGGGACATGGATGAAGCTGGAAACCATCTTTCTCAGCAAACTATCACAAGGACAAAAAACCAAACACTGCATGTTCTCACTCATAGGTGGGAATTGAACAATGAGAACACTTGGACACAGGAAGAGGAACATCACACACTGGGGCCTGTTGTGTGGTGGGGGTGGGGGGGAGGGATAGCGTCAGGAGATATAACTAATGTAAATGTCGAGTTAATGGGTGCAGCACACCAACATGGCACATGTATACATATGTAACAACCTGCACGTTGTACACATGTACCCTAGAACTTAAAGTACAATTAAAATAATAATGATAATAATAATTAATAAATATATATATATATTTTTAAAAACCTCCAGGATATAGCAAAGGCGGTGGTTCAAAGAGGAAAGTTCATAGCCCTAAATGCCTACATCAAAAAGCCTGAAAGAGCACAAACAGATAATCTAAAGTCACACCTCAAAGAACTAGAGAAACAAGAACAAACCGAACCCAAACCCAGCAGAGATAAGGAAATAACAAAGATCAGGGCAGAACTAAATGAAATTGAAACAAAAAATATACACAAAAGATAAATGAAATAAAAAGCTGAAAGCTGATTCTTTGAAAAGATATGTAAAATGGATAGACCATTAGCAAGATTAACCAAGAAAAGAAGAGAAAATCCAAATAAGCTCAATTAGAAACAGAATGGGAGATACTACAACCAACAACACAGAAATACAAAAGATCATCGGAGGCTACTACAAACACCTTTACATGCGTGAACTAGAAAACCTAGAGGAGATGAATAAATTTCTGAAAATATACAACCCTCCTAGCTCAAATCAGGAAGAAATATATACCATAAACAGACCAGTAACAAGCAGTGAGTTTGAAATTGTAACTTAAAAATTACCAACCAAAAAAAAAAAAAAATCCAGGACCAGATGGATTCACAGCTGAATTCTGCAAAACACTCAAAGAAGAATTGGTACCAATCCTATTGACACTATTCCACAAGATAGAGAAAGAGGGAATCCTCCCTAAATCATTCTATGAAGCCAGTATCACCCTAATACCAAAACCTGGAAAGGACATAACCAAAAAAGAAAACTACAGAGTAATATTCCTGATGAACATAGAAGCAAAAATCCTTAACAAAATACTAGCTAACTGAATCCAACAACATATCAAAAAGATGATCCACCATGATCAAGTGGGTTTCATACCAGGGATGCAGAAATGGTTTAACATGTGCAAGTCAATAAATGTGAAACACCACATAAACAGAATTAAAAACAAAAATCAAATGATCTCAATAGATGCAGAAAAAGCATTTGATAAAATCCAACATCCCTTCATGATTAAAATCCTCAGCAAAATCAGCATACAAGGGACATACCTCAATGTAATAAAAGCCATTTATGACAAACCCACAGCCAACACAATACTGAATGGGGAAAAGCTGAAAGCATGCCCTCTGAGAACTGGAACAAGACAAGGATGCCCATTCTCACCACTTCTATTCAACATAGTACTAGAAGTCCCAGCCAGAGCAATCAGAAAAAAAGAAAGAAATAAAGGGCATCCAAATTGTTAAAGAGGAAGTCAAACTGTTGCTGTTTGCTGATGATACGATTGTATCCCTAGGAAACCCTAAAGACTCTTCCAAAAAGCTCCTAGAACTGATAAATGAATTCAGCAAAGTTTCAGGATACGAAATTAATGTACACAAATCAGTAGCTCTCCTATACACCAACAGCAACCAAGCTGAGAATCAAATCAAGAATGCAACCTCTTTTATAATAGCTGCAAAAAAATATATGTTGGGAATATATCTAACCAAGGAGATGAAAGACCTCTACAAGGAAAACTACAAAGCACTGTTGAAAGAAATCATAGATGACACAAATGGAAACACCATCTCATGCTCATGGATGGGTAGAATCAATATTGTGAAAATGACCTACTACCAAAAGCAATCTACAGATTCAATGCAATTTCCATCAAAATACCACAATCATTCCCCACAGAACTAGAAAAAACAATCCTAAAATTTATATGGAACCTAAAAAGAGCTTATATAGCCAAAGCAGACTAAGTAAAAGGAACAAATCTGGAAGCATCACATTACCTGATTGTAAACTATACTGTAAGGCTATAGTCACCAAAACAGCATGGTACTAGTATTAAAATAGGCACATAGACCAATAGCACAGAATAGAGAACCCAGAAATAAAGCCATATACTTACAGCCAACTGATCTTCAACAAAGCAAACAAAAACAAAGTGAGGAAAGGATACCCTATTCAACACAAGGTGCTGGGATAATTGGCAAGCCGCATGTAGAAGGAAACTGGATCCTCATCTTTCACCTTATACAAAAATGAACTCAAGATGGATCAAGGACTTAAATCTACGATCTGAAACTATAAAATTTCTAGAAGATAGCATTGGAAAAACCCTTCTAGACATTGGCTCAGGCAGAGTTCATGACCAAGAACCCAAAAGCAAATGCAATAAAAACAAAGACAAATAGGTGAGACTATATTAAACTAAAGAGCTTTTGCTTGGCAAAAGGAACAGTCACCAGAGTAAACAGACAACCCACAGAGTGGAAGAACATCTCCACAATCTAAACATCTGACAAAGAACTAATATCTGGAATCTACAATGAACTCAAACAAATTGGCAAGAAAAAAAATAGCCCATCAAAAAATGGGCTAAGGACACGAATAGACAATTCTCAAAAGAAGATGTACAAATGGCCAACATATGAAAAAATGCTCAACATCACTAATAATCAGGAAAATGCAAATCAAAACTGCAATGTGATACCACCTTACTTCCATGAGAATGGCCACAATTAAAAAATCAAAACTAGCAGATGTTGGCATGGATGCAGTAAAGAGGGAACACTTCTACACTGCTGGAGATGTAAACTAGTACAACCACCATGGAAAACAGTGTGGAGATTCCTTAAAGCACTAAAAGCAGACCTACCATTTGATCCAGCAGTCCCACTACTAGGTATCTACACAGAGGAACAGAAGTCATTATATGAAAAAGATACATGCACACACATGTTTATAGCAACACAATTCGAAATTGCAAAAATGTGGAACCAACAAAATGCCCATCAATCAATGAATGGATAAGGAAACTGTGGTATAGATAGATAGATAGATAGATAGATAGATAGATAGAGTATATATATATATATACACATATGATGGAATATATATATATGATGCAATACTACTCAGCCATAAAAGGGAATGAATCACTGGCATTTGCAGCAACCTGGATGGGACTGGAGACTATTATTCTAAGTGAAGTAACTCAGGAATGGAAAACCAAACATCATATATTCTCACTCATAAGTGGGAGCTAAGCTATGATGATACAGAGGCATAAGGATGATACAATGGACTTTGGGGATACCGGGGGAAAGGGTGGGAAGGGGGTGAGGAATAAAAGACTATAAATTGGGTTCAGTGTATACTACTCATGTGATAGGTGCACTGAAATCTCACAAATCACCATTAAAGAACTTACTCATGTAACCAAACACCATCTGTTCCCCAAAAACCCACGGAAATAAAAAAAATTTTAAAAAAAACAGTGTGGCCATATTAATATCAGATAAAGTAGATTTTAAGACAAAAAAACAAAAGGCAGGAAACAAAATTATAATGATAAAAGTTTTAATTACCTAGGAGTTGTAACAGTTCTAAATTTCTGTTCCCAATTATATGGCCTTAATGTATCAGAACAAAATTTGACAGAGCTAAACATAGAAACAAACAAATCCACAAACAATGAGAACGTTTAACATGCTTTCTTAGTAACTAATAGAACAATTAGACAAAAAAAAAAAAGTAAAGATACAGAAGCTTTGAGCAACATGGTTACCAAACTTGAACAGACTCCAGGAAAAAAAAAAAAAAAACTCTTAGATTTGAGAAGTGAATTCAGTAAGGTTTCAGAATACAAAACCAATGTACAAAAATCAGTAGTGTTTCTATACACCAACAATGATCTCACGAGAGGGAAATCAGGCAATGACAGTTATATTAGCTACAAAAAAATAATACCTAGGAATATATTTAACCAAGGAGGTGAAACATTTCTACATGAAAAACTACAAAACACTGATGAAAGCAATCATAGATGACACAAACAAATGGAAAAACATTCCATGCTCATACATTGCAAGAATTAATAGTGTTTAAAATGACCATATTGCCCAAAGAAATCTACAAATTCAATGCAATCCCTATCAAAATACCAATATCATTCTTCATAGAATTAGAAAAACGATCCTAAAATTTATGAGGAACCAAAAAGAGCCTGAATAGCCAAAGCAATCCTGAGCTTAAAGAACAAAGCTGGAGGCATCACAGTACCTGACCTCAAAATACATTACAAGGCTATAGTAAGCAATATAATACAATATTGGTATAAAAATGGACACATAGGCCAATAGAACAGAATACAGAACCCAGAAATAAAGCCACATACTTACAGCCAGCTGATCTTTGACAAAGCCAACAAAGACTTCCACTGGGGAAAGAATATGCTATTCAATAAATAGTCCTGGGAAAATTAGGTAGCCACATGCAGAAGAATGAAACTAGACCCCTCTGTCTCGCCATATACAAAAATCAACTCAAAATGGATTAAAGACTTAAATGTATGACCTGAAACTACAAAAATACTAAAAGAAAACCTAGGGAAAACACTCTTGGACATTGGTCTGGGCAAAGAATTTATGACTAAGGCCTCAAAAGCACATGCAACAAAAACAAAAACAGAAAAAATGGAACTTAATGAAACTAAGAAGCTTCTGCACAGCAAAGACATAATCAACAGAGTGAAGAGACAATCTATTGAATGGGAGAAACTATTTGCAAACTATTCATCTGACTAATATCCAGAATATACAAGGAACTCAACTCAACGGGAAAAAAAAACCACAAATAATCCCATTAAAAACTGAGCAAAGACATGAACAGACATTTCTCAAAAGAAGATATACTAATGGCCACTAATCTTAAGTGAAATAAGCTAGGCACAGAAAGACAAATATCACATGTTCCCACTTACATGTGGGAGGTAAAAAAAATTTGATCACATGGAGGTAGAGAATAGAAAGATAGATAACAGAGACCAGGAAGGATAAGGTCGGGGGTAGGGAGGAGGATGAAGAGAAGTGGCTTAAAGTGTACAAACATACAGTAAAATAGAAGAATAAATTCAATGTTTGATAGCAGACTAGAGCGACTATACTTAACAAAAATATATTGTACTAGAGCGCTGAATACCCTAAATACCCTGACTTGATCACTAAGCATTATATACATGTAATAAATTCTCATATGTACCCCATATATTTGTACAATTTTTTTAAAGTACTATATCTGGCATAGCAGCTGCAAAGGAAATACTACTGGGTTAAGTGTGTGGTGGTTTGTCTGTTGCTATCTACTAAGATCCATTTGGTTTTGGTAGGGGTCAAACCAGTGAATTAAATAAGATATGATGGGGCTGGCTGGGCGTGGTGGCTCATGCCTGTAATCCCAGCACTTTAGGAAGCCAAGGCAGGTGGATCACTTGAGAACAAGGGTTTGAGACCAGCCTGGCCAACATAGCAAAACCCCTTATCTACTAAAAACACAAAAAATTAGCCAGGGTTGGTGGCACACGCCTATAATCCCAGCTACTTGGGACGCTGAGGCGGGAGATTGCTTGAACCCAGGTGGCAGCGTTTGCAGTGAGCCAATATCATGCCACTGCACTCCAGCCTGGGCAACAGACTGAGACTGTCTCAAAAAAAAAAAAAAAAGGTGTGATGGGGCTACCACTCCTTTATTCTTTAGGTTTTTAAGAGTGGTATTAATTTCTTCCCTGATGGTCAAGATGTGAGATTCTTTTTTGTGTATTAGCTTAGCCAGGGAGAAAGGGGACAGTTTCAGAAGTTTCCACTAGGCCTTTTGCACTGTTACTGCTCTTGCTCTACTGGCAAAGGGACTCATATGGTGGTTCTGCAAAATTTAATGGAATACACACCATGTCTATTGCAAAACTGTTCCCAGCCCTGAATCAGACCTTGGAATCAGACTCCTAATGTGGCAGACCTAAGGATATAGGAACAAGATGCACATATTTTATGAAGGGTCACTGGTACTGATGGTAAAAGACATCAGTTCATCATTTAGGGTCATTGCACTATATCAGCTATTGATTTCATGTGTATATGATAACATGCTAGAGTTAGCACTCTATTCCACTCAAATTCCACAAGCACTCAAATTCCACAAGCTCTTATCCCTAAGCCAGCTCCTTAGCTGACAACTGCTTCCCTGTGAAGTGGTATCTGACAAGATACCACAATCAGATTAAAATCACATGAAGATATCAATACATACACACTAGAATGGCAAAAATTTAAGACTTACCATACCAAGTGTTGGAGAAAATGAGGAGCAACTGGAACTCCCATATACTGCTCATGGGAATGTACAATGGCACAACCACTTTGGAAAATAGTTTGTCACTTTCTTAAACATACACCTAAAATACAACCCAGCCATTCTACTCCTAGGAATTTCCTGAAGGGAAATTAAGGCATGGGCAAAGACTTCATGACTAAAACACCAAAAGCAATGGCAACAAAAGCCAAAATTGACAAATGGGATCTCGTTAAACTAAAGAGCTTCTGCACAACAAAAGGAACTATTATCAGATTGTACAGGCTATCTACAGATGGAAGAAAAATTTTGCAATCTATCCATCTGACAAAGGGCTAATATCCAGAATCTACAAGGAACTTAAACAAATTTACAAGAAAAAAGCAAACAATGCCATCAAAAAGTGCGTGAAGGATATGAACAGACACTTCTCAAAAGAAGACATTTATGAGGCCAACAAACATATGAAAAAAAGTTCATCATCACTGGTCATTAGAGTAATGCAAATCAAAACTACAATGAAATACCATTTCATTCCAGTTAGAATGGGGATCATTAAAAAGCCAGGAAACAACAGATGCTGGAGAGGATGTGGAGAAATAGAACACTTCTACACTATTGGTGAGAGTGTAAATTAGTTCAACCGTTGTGGAAGACAGTGTGGCAATTCCTCAAGGATCTAGAACTAGAAATACCATTTGACCCAACAATCCCATTACTGGGTATATACCCAAAGGAGTATAAATCATTCTACTGTAAAGACACATGCACACATATATTTATTGCAGCATTATTCACAATAGCAAAGACTTGGAACCAACCCAAATGTCCATCTGGATGATAGACTGGATAAAGAAAATGTGGCACATCTACACCATGGAATACTATCCAGCCATAAAAAAAGGATGAGTTCATGTCCTTTTCAGGGACATGGATGAAGCTGGAAACCATCATTCTCAGCAAACCATCGCAAGGACAAAAAACCAAACACCGCATGTTCTCACTCATATGTGGGAGTTGAACAATGAGAACACATGGACACAGGGAGGGGAACATCACACACCAGGGCCTATGGAGGGGTGGAGGGCTAGGAGAGGGATAGCATTAGGAGGAATACCTAATGTAGATGACAGGTTTTGGGTGCAGCAAACCACCATGGCATGTGGATACCTATGTAACAAACCTGCACGTCCTGCACATGTATCCCAGAACTTAATGTATATATAAATAAATAAATAAAAAGAAAATAGAAGGGACAATAAATACTCCGCACATAGTCTTACAAGTTAGTCATAGAATCATTGATCATCAGACAAATGCAAATCAAAACTATAAGGAGATATCATCTCACCCCAATTAAAATGTCTTTTATCCAAAAGATAGGGACCAATGAACACAAACAAGGTTGTGGAAAAAAGGAAATCCTCTTACCCTGCTGGTGGGAATGTAAATAAGTTCAGCCACCCTGGAGAACAGTATGGAGGTTCCTCAAACAACCAAAAACAGAACTACCATATTTTCCAGCAATCCCACTGGTAGATATATACCGAAAAGAAAGGGCATCAGTATATCAAACAGGTATCTGTATTCCCATGTTTGTGAATAGTACTGCAGCACTATTCACAATAGCCAAGAGTTGGAAGCAACCTAAGTGTCCATCAGCAAACAAATGGGTAAAGAAAACGTAATGTAGTATATATAGACAGGAGTACTATTCAGCCTTAAAAAAGAATGAGATCCTATCATTTGCAACAACATGGATGGAACTGGAGGACATGTGTTAAGTGAAATAAGCCAAACTTCACATGTTCTTATTCCTATGTGTAAGCTAAAAATTAAAACGATTGAATTCATGGAGACAAAGAGTAGAAGAATGGTTTATCAGAGGCTGGGAAGTGTGGCGGGTGGCGGGTGGGGAGAGAAGTGGGGATGATTAACTGGGACAAAAATATAGTTAGATAGAATGAATAAGATCTAGTATTTGATAGCACAAAAGGGTGACCACAGTCAACAGTAATTTATTGTACTTTTAAAATAACTAAAAGAGTATAATTGGAATGTTTGTAACACAAAGAAATAATAAATACTTGAGGTGATGGATACCCCATTTACCCTGATGTGATTATACACTGTATGCCTGTATCAAAATATCTCATGTACCCCATAAATATATACATCTACTTATACCCATAAAAATTAAAATTTAAAAAAGAAGTGCATCCCAGAGAGGTCAGGTAAGCAGGGAGACACCAGTAGGTGCCATGGTTCTAGACAGACACTGTCATAAAAAGTTCACCTAGCCAGGCGCAGCGGCTGACGCCTGTAATCTGAGGACTTTGGGAGGCCAAGGTGGGCGGATCATGAGGTCAAGAGATGGAAAGCATACTGGCCAACATGATGAAACTCCATCTCTACTAAAAATACAAAAATTAGCTGGGCGTAGTGGTGTGCGCCTGTAGTTCCAGCTACTCAAGAGGCTGAGGCAGGAGAATTGCTTGAATCCCAGAGGTGGAGGTTGCAATGAGCCAAGATCACATACTGCACTCCAGCCTGGCAACAGAGCAAGACTCCGTCTCAAGACAAAAAAAAAAAAAAAAAAAAAGTTCACCTGTGGCAAATGCATTAGGTATCTAGAGTCCTCAATCCCAATGACTGGACAGAAGACTATGTAAACATTAAATCTCAAGTATTGTCCATAAAGATTGAGACTATGGACTTTGCTATCTTCTTACAGTCTGTCTTGTGAGGGAAAGGAGTGTCTCCAAAGTACATATTTTATTCAGTAAATACCAGTGAAATATCACTAATTCCTCCATTGAGATCTCATTTCTTTTTTTTTTTTAATTATACTTTAAGTTTTAGGGTACATGTGCACAACGTGCAGGTTTGTTACATATGTATACATGTGCCATGTTGGTGTGCTGCACCCATTAACTCGTCATTTAACATTAGGTATATCTCCTAATGTTATCCCTCCCCCTTCCCCCCACCCCACAACAGGCCCCTGTGTGTGATGTTCCCCTTCCTGTGTCCATGTGTTCTCATTGTTCAATTCCCACCTATAAGTGAGAACATGCGGTGTTTGGTTTTTTGTCCTTGCGATAGTTTGCTGAGAATGATGGTTGAGATCTCTTCTAACATCCTCTGGGCTATTAATTTTATCAGTGAAACTCTTTTTTTAACATTCATTATGCTAATTAAAGCTCTTGTGTTGATCAAAGAAAAAGATACAGAAGTACGTCTAATGGTACATCTGTATAGTGCTGGAGCTGGGCTTCTTGATTACAGCACTAGCTGACCCCACTTCAGATGTGGATTTCTGATTAGGGTAACTGATAATACTTACAGTGCAACCTAAATTTACTAATGCAAACATACATTCAACCCTGTCTTAAAGTACAGATATCATAATTCAAATCCAATAGGCAACAGGATATGTGAATATGGTGCTCAGGGGAAAAAAATCTGAATTGGGAATCTTTTTAGGAGTTTTATGGTTGGCATATTTATTTCCACCCTTTTTCTTTTATAATTTTCCTCTTCATCCTTATTTTGTGAACTATTTCATATGTATCTTTATTCTTCCCTATAAGTCAGTTTAAATTCTTTTTGGACAGTGGAATGTTTAAATAAATATCAGTAAATAAGACTTACCCCTCCATATCATTTGTTTTAAATTTCTGCTAAGAACTATTTTTTCTGCAACTAACTTTTAAATTTTTAGTTTTTATAAGTACATAATAAATGTCGTGGTGACAGCTAATAGGACAGTATAAGGTTCCATCAACTTTACAAAACAGTTGATATTAATGATTTTTGTGACTGCTTGCTAATAAGTTCTTATATATAAAACCTGTGTGTATAGAGAAATTGATCTTAAGAGTTGGACTTGCTGTCAATGTAACCTGATACCGGCATAAAGATATGTCTACCTTAAAATTTTTGGTGGTTACTATTATCAACCCCCAAAAAATAGTGGTAAAATATCACTAATTTTATGACCTAAGCCAGTTTGTTTTTGCATAACTGGTGTTGATCAAAGAAAAAGATACAGCCAACTGTATCTTTTTCTTTGTATATACAGTTGGCTCACACTTATGCAAAAACAAACTGGCTTAGATCAGATCACAGCTTACAACTGGCATTACATAAAATGCAAAAAGCCAAAACTAAACTCCAGCCACCCCGGCCCCAGCATTGTATTCCTTCTGGGGTTTTTCCTTAATTAATTAATTTTCTAATTAATTTACCTTGTCATCTCTGAAAGAAAAAATTGTTCATAACAGTTGGTAAAGAACAGTAAGGCAGACTTCATTCAGGACCATCATGATAGATATAGGGACCACTGCAATGGGGTTTTGCAGTGAAGGGCAGAAACTGGGCTCAACTCCAAAGACAACAGAGAAAACTGGAGACAGAGGAAGGAAGGAAGGAAGGAAAGAAGGAAGGAAGGAAGGAAGGAAGGAAGGAAGGAAGGAAGGAAGGAAGGAAGGAAGGAAGGAAGGAAGGGAGGGAGGGAGGGAGGGAGGGAGGGAGGGAAGAGAAGGGAAGGGAAGGGAAATAGAGAGGGGAATAGTGGGAGAAAGGAAGAAAAGAGAGAAAGAAATACACATTATTATACACATTAAATACACATAATAATCTTCCAATGAAAGACTGCTATAAAACACAGATCTATAAATTCTGCTTCTGTATTTTCTATATAACTGTTTTTTAGCTGTAGCGAAAGTAAAGAGTGAGAGAGTCAGAGCTCTTCCTTCTTCTCCCCAATCCCCAATTTCCTGGCATTGCCTGACACTAGGCAAACCCAGCCTGAAGCTCACAGACTCAGGAGGCTGGGAGCCATAGCCTGCAACAGGGTTCAAAACAGGGAAAGTACAAGAAATAGATCTGAGGGCAAGCAGTTCCAGATATGCTAGAGGAGAAGACAAATATTAATCAAAACCTTGCAAATATATTATTACAGCTTGTTCTAAGTTCTGGGAAGAAGGAAATGTATTTACAGACCCTGTAATAGGACGCCCCATATCGTCTCGAGAGTCAGGGAAGTCTTCCTTAAGTGAGAGATGATTCAATGGCTCCTGAAGTATGAAGCATATATTGACTAGGTGATGAGGTGATTAGGTAATACCTAATACTAGGTATTAGAGATGGAGAGCAATGCACATGCAAAGACAGCAAGAGGATCATGGAGTTTTCAAATAACTTAGAAAGTCAGTACAGCCAGAATGCAGAGTACTCTGTGGATAGTGATGCAAGATGCAACCAGAGATGTGGACACAGAGAGCCTTGCAGCCCATGGGTTAAGGGTTTATTCTATATGCAACAGAAAGTCACTTACGAGTTTTAAGCAGGGCAGGAAAGACATCATCAATGTCTTGAGAACACTCCCAATGCTACAGAACAGTTTGAGCTGGGGCACATGTGGGTCTGGAAAGGCAAATGTAGCTGCCCTGGTGAGAAATAGAGTTGGCTTGATCTGGAGTGGGTAATGATGATGGAAAGAAGTTGACCTACTCTGTGTGATGAAGAACTGTGAAACCAATGTGTTGTTAACTGGGTCATTTACATGGAGAAGTTGCCTCGAATGGGAGCAGATCTAAACAGAAGAGGAAGACTGTGTGTCAGGGATCAGAAATGAATGTGAAGATCTGACCAGGTCAGAGAAAAATAGTGGATGACAGTGACAAGAAGGTTAAAGGTCCACAGAGGGAGTTGCTGTGGAAGAATGAACCAATGGGGACAAAGTGCAGTAAGGTAGGCACGTAGAGGTGGCTTAAATACCAGATGAGCAAATGAGACAGGAGTGGGAGGTGAGGTGGAATTCAGTGACCTCAAAGGTCACAATGTAACTCTGGCTACAGTGGATACTGTGATGTACCACCTCAGTAAGCCTTCAGGATTGAGGAGTTTATTCCCCCAACTGGTGGGAGTGCTGCTGACATTCTGTCCTCAGCTGCCAGCCTTCTTCCGGAACCACCTTGCATATAGACAGTCTTCTGCTCCCAGGGTCACACTGGCTTCCTGGGGAAGCCCACAGCCACTGACTGGTTGATGCAGGAATATAAAGGCCTCCACCTCTAGCCCCAAGTCAGAACAACTCCAAAGAGCCATACCAGCTTTAGACTCCCATATGGCTACCTGATGCCTTTGTTAAAACGACATCACAGCCCAACAACTCCCTTCATCCGATCTGCTTCTTCCCTTTCTTGGGTAATATTCTCAAGAACAGTCCCTAATGCTAATCTCAGAACAGATCCTGCATGGTAATCTCAGAGGCTGCTTCCAAGGGAACTCAACCTGTGACACTAACATGTAATTCTTTCGGAATAGACTGAGACCCCAGAAGTCTCCCTGAGACCCAATGTGTTCACCACCTTTGGACTTTGTTCAAGGTTCCAGATAGAAAATGATAATAATCACAAATATTTACCTAGTAATTACATGTGCCAAACAATGTACATAATGTTAACTAATTTAATCTTTACAACTTTATTTCACAGATAAGTAAACTGAGGCACAGAGAGATTAAGAAACTTGATCAAGGTCACACAACTAGAATATAGTGGTATCAGCGTACAAACCCAGGCAGTTTCTGGTACAGGCAGCCCTTCTTCTAATCTCTTCCCTACACTACCCCTTGTACAGTTGAGCTTGGTGAATGGTTGCTTTCACATGTTGTTAAATGTCCAGTCCCAGTTAGATACCCATGCTCTCTTTGTGAAACCAGATTATTGGAAGCAAATTATAATATGTTTCCCATAAATAGATCCCTCTTTCTTATTGTGTTCAATTTATGCTACCAATACTACTTTGCACTAATTAGAGACACTGACTAGAAGCTGGTGAAACAGACAGGCCTAGAACAAAACATCTGTTGACCCTAAAGAAAGGGTAGTATCCAAGCAGATCATCAAGAAGCAAATTTGCAGAAACGTTAAAACTATTCTTGTGCTCACTTTGGCAGCACATATACTAAAATTGGAATGACACAAAGAAGATTAGCATGGCACCTGCACAAGGACGACTCTGTTAAAAAAAAAATGTTAACCTTCTGATTGTAATAAGTAACAGGTAAAAGTGCATCATTTGTCAAACTCATGGCTAGAAGATATGGGTCACAGATAACACATTCTAAAGGCCAAGCAATCATGCAATTACCATGAGTTGACTATTTCTTAAATTTCCTTCCTAGAAAAATAAAAATTTGACACAGTTCAATAAAAAAGAAACTAGTATGTCAAAAACAAAATAGTAAAGCAAACCTACTAGGAAACTCTAATTGGCTTCATCTTTCAGGGTCAGCTTCTTTTTGTGGCCAGGACAGGGTCCTAAACACATTCTTGGTTGTGTTTCTTATTCATTTAATTAAGTGAAAAATAAGTTCTCTTTTACACGTGTTTTCTTTTTCAGCCTCTATAGTGTGAAATAAACATGAAGCTGTCAAATAGAATAAACTGAGACAGGCTAAACTAATTTGCCACTGATGATAGTCATTATAAACAATCTGAATGCTGTTCCACCTCACTGGGATTTAAATAATCTGTCAAAGAGCTCTATATTCTAAAATCTGCATATGAAATCAGGGAACATGAGGAAGAAATGAGAATAGTTAGTTAAATCAACAGAAATATCCTCATTCCTGACATGAAAATAGAAGAGTTTAATTTCTTTAAGAAGGGATTAATTTTTTTAAGCCCTTCTCTCTCTCATTCAAATGCCACCCCATGCAAACAATTATTGTTACTCCATTCCTTCCTCAATATTTAGGAATACTGCTCAGTGTTGTTAGAAAATTTGGTCTTTTTGGACTCTAGCCACGATGGCCAAATAGGAACAGCTCCAGTTTACAGCTCCCAGCGTGAGCGACACAGAAGACGAATAATTTCTGCATTTCCAACTGAGGTACCAGGTTCATCTCACTGGGTATTGTCGAAAAGGGGGTGCAGGACAGTAGGTGCAGCACACTGAGCATGAGCCCAAGCAGGGTGAGGCATCCCTCACCCGGGAAGCACAAGGGGTCAGGGAATTCCCTTTCCTAGCCAAGGAAAGGGGTGACAGACGGCACCTGGAAAATCAGGTCACTCCCACCCTAACACTGCGCATTTCTGACTGTCTTAGCAAACAGCACACCAGGAGATTATATACCGCACATGGCTCAGACGGTCCTATGTCCACGGAGCCTTGCTCACTGCTAGCACAGCAGTCTGAGATCAAACTGCAAGGTGGCAGCGAGGCTGGGAGAGGGGAGCCCGCCATTGCTGAGGCTTCAATAGATAAACAAAGCAGCCAGGAAGCTTGAACTGGGTGGATCCCACCACAGCTCAAGGAGGCCTGCCTGCCTCTGTAGACTCCACCTCTGGGGGCAGGGCATTGCCAAACAAAATGCAGCAGAAACCTCTGCAGACTTAAATGTCCCTGTCTGACAGCTTGGGAGACAGTAGTGGTTCTCCCAGCACCCAGCTGGAGATCTGAGAATGGACAGACTGCCTCCTCAAGTGGGTCCCTGACCCCCAAGTAGCCTAACTGGGGAGGCACCCCCCAGTAGGGGCAGACTGACACCTTACACAGCCGGGTACTCCTCTGAGACAAAACTTCCAGAGGAACAATCAGGCAGCAACATTTGCTGTTCACCAATATTCGATGTTGTGCAGCCTCCTCTGCTGATACCCAGGCAAACAGGGTCTGGAGTGGACCTCCAGCAAACTCCAACAGACCTGCAGCTGAGGGTCCTGACTGTTAGAAGGAAAATGAACAAACAGAAAGGACATCCACACCAAAACCCCATCTGTACATCACCATCATCAAAGACCAAAGGTAGATAAAACCACAAAGATGGGGAAAAAACAGAGCAGAAAAACTGAAAATTCTAAAAATCAGAGTGCCTCTCCTCCTCCAAAGGAACGCAGCTCCTCACCAGCAACAGAACAAAGCTGGACAAAGAATGACTGTGATGAGTTGAGAGAAGAAGGCTTCAGACAATCAAACTTCTCTGAGCTGAAGGTGGAAGTTCGAACCCATGGCAAAGAAGTTGAAAACCTTGAAAAAAGATTAGACAAATGGCCAACTAGAATAACCAATGCAGAGACGTCCTTAAAGGACCTGATGGAGCTGAAAACCATGGCACTGGAACTACGTGACGAATGCACAAGCCTCAGTAGCCGATTAGATCAACTGGAAAAAAGGGTATCAGTGTTGGAAGATCAAATGAATGAAATGAAGTGAGAAGAGAAGTTTAGAGAAAAAGAATAAAAAGAAACAAACAAAGCCTCCAAGAAATATGGGACTATGTGAAAAGACCAAATCTACGTCTGATTGGTGTACCTGAAAGTGATGGGGAGAATGGAAACAACTTGGAAAACACTCTGCAGAATATTACCCCAGAGAATTTCCCCAATCTAACAAGGCAGGCCAACATTCAAATTCAGGAAATACAGAGAATGCCACAAAGATACTCCTTGAGAAGAGCAACTCCAAGACACATAATTGTCAGATTCACCAAAGTTGAAATGAAGGAAAAAATGTTAAGGGCAGCCAGAGAGAAAGGTTGGCTTACACACAAAGGGAAGCCCATCAGACTAACAGTGGATCTCTCAGCAGAAACTCTACAAGCCAGAAGAGAGTGGGGGCCAATATTCAACATTCTTAAGGAAAAGAATTTTCAATCCAGAATTTCGTATCCAGCCAAACTAAGCTTCATAAGTGAAGGAGAAATAAAATCCTTTACAGACAAGCAAATGCTGAGAGATTTTGTCGCCACCACGACTGCCCTAAAAGAGCTCCTGAAGGAAGCACTAAACATGGAAAGGAACAACTGGTACCAGCCACTGCAAAAACACGCCAAATTGTAAAGACCATTGAGGCTAGGAAGAAACTGCATCAACTAACAAGCAAAATAACCAGCTAACATCATAATGACAAGATCAAATTCACACATAACAATATTAACCTTAAATGTAAATGGGCTAAATTCTCCAATTAAAAGACACAGACTGGCAAATTGGATAAAGAGTCAAGACCCATCAGTGTGCTGTATTCAGGAAACCCATCTCACATGCAGAGACACACATAGGCTCAAAATAAAGGGATGGAGGAAGATCTACCAAGCAAATGGAAAACAAAAAAAGGCAGGGGTTGCAATCCTACTCTCTGATAAAACAGACTTTAAACCAACAAAGATCAAAAGAGACAAAGAAGGCCATTACATAATGATAAAGGGATCAATTCAACAAGAAGAGCTAACTATCCTAAATATATATGCACCCAATACAGGAGCACCCAGATTCATAAAGCAAGTCCTTAGGGACCTACAAAGAGACTTAGACTACCACACAATAATAATGGGAAACTTTAACACCCCACTGTCAACATTAGACAGATCAATGAGACATAAAGTTAACAAGGATATCCAGGAATTGAACTCAGCTCTGCACCAAGCAGACCTAATAGACATCTACAGAACTCTCCACTCCAAATCAACAGAATATACATTCTTCTCAGCACCACACCACACCTATTCCAAAATTGACCACACAGTTGGAAGTAAAGCACTCCTCAGCAAATGTAAAAGAACAGAAATTATAACAAACTGTCTCTCAGACCACAGTGCAATCAAACTAGAACTCAGGATTAAGAAACTCACTCAAAACCGCTCAACTACATGGAAACTGAACAACCTGCTCCTGAGTGACTACTGGGTACATAACGAAATGAAGGCAGAAATAAAGATGTTCTTTGAAACCAACGAGAACAAAGACACAACATACTAGAATCTCTGGCACATATTTAAAGCAGTGTGTAGAGGGAAATTTATAGCACTAAATGCCCACAAGAGAAAGCAGGAAAGATCTAAAATTGACACCCTAACGTCACAATTAAAAGAACTAGAGAAGCAAGAGCAAACACATTCAAAAGCTAGCAGAAGGCAAGAAATAGCTAAGATCAGAGCAGAACTGAAAGAAATAGAGACATAAAAAACCCTGCAAAAAAATCAATGAATCCAAGAGCTGGTTTTTTGAAACAATCAACAAAATTGATAGACCGCCAGCAAGACTAATAAAGAAGAAAAGAGAGAAGAATCAAATAGATGCAATAAAAAATGATAAAGGGGATATCACCACCGATCCCACAGAAATACAAACTACCATCAGAGAATACTATAAACACCTCTATGCAAATAAACTAGAAAATCTAGAAGAAATGGATAAATTCCTCGACACATACACCCTCCCAAGACTAAACCAGAAAGAAGTTGAATCTCTGAATAGACCAATAACAGGCTCTGAAATTGAGGCAATAATTAATAGCTTACCAATCAAAAAAAGTCCAGGACCAGACAGATTCACAGCTGAATTCTACCAAAGGTACAAGGAGGAGCTGGTGCCATTCCTTCTGAAACTATTCCAGTAAATAGAAAAAGAGGGAATCCTCCCTAACTCATTTTATGAGGCCAGCATCATCCTGATACCAAAGCCTGGCAGAGACACAACAAAAAAAGAAAATTTTAGACCAATATCCCTGATGAACATCGATGCAAAAGTCCTCAATAAAATACGAGCAAACCGAATCCAGCAGCACATCAGAAAGCTTATCCACCATGATGAAGTAGGCTTCATCCCTGGGATGCAAGGCTGGTTCAACATATGCAAATCAATAAATGTACTCCAGCATATAAACAGAACCAAAGACAAAAACCACATGATTATCTCAGTAGATGCAGAAAAGGCCTTTGACAAAATTCAGCAGCCCTTCAAGCTAAAAGCTTTCAACAAATTAGGTATTAATGGGATGTATCTCAAAATAATAAGAGCTATTTATGACAAACCCACAGCCAATATCATACTGAATGGGCAAAAACTGGAAGCACTCCCCCTTGAAAACAGGCACAAGACAGGGATGCCCCCTCTCACCACTCCTATTCAACATAGTGTTGGAAGTTCTGGCCAGGGCAATTAGGCAGGAGAAGGAAATAAAGGGTATTCAATTAGGAAAAGAGGAAGTCCAATTGTCCTTGTTTGCAGATGACATGATTGTATATCTAGAAAACCCCATCGTCTCAGTCCAAAATCTCCTTAAGCTGATAAGCAACTTCAGCAAAGTCTCAGGATACAAAATCCATATGCAAAAATCACAAGCATTCTTACGTAGCCATAACAGACAACAGAGAGCCAAATCATGAGTGAACTCCCATTCCCAATTGCTTCAAAGAGAATAAAATACCTAGGAATCCAACTTACAAGGGATGTGAAGGACCTCTTCAAGGAGAACTACAAACCAATGCTCAAGGAAATAAAAGAGGATACAAACAAATGGAAGAACATTCCATGCTCATGGGTAGGAAGAATCAATATCATGAAAATGGCCATACTGCCCAAGGTAATTTATAGATTCAATGCCATCCCCATCAAGCTACCAATGACTTTCTTCACAGAATTGGAAAAAACTACTTTAAAGTTCATATGGAACCAAAAAACAGCCCGCATTGCCAAATCAATCCTAAGCCAAAAGAACAAAGCTGGAGGCATCACACTACCTGACTTCAAACAATACTACAAGGCTACAGCAACCAAAACAGCATGGTACCGGTACCAAAACAGAGATGTAGATCAATGGAACAGAACAGAGCCCTCAGAAATAATGCCACATATCTACAACTATCTGATCTTTGACAAACCTGACAAAAACAAGAAATAGGGAAAGGATTCCCTATTTAATAAATGGTGCTGGGAAAACTGGCTAGCCATATGTAGAAAGCTGAAACTGGATCCCTTCCTTACACCTTATACAAAAATTAATTCAAGATGGATTAAAGACTTAAATGTTAGACCCAAAACCATAAAAGCCCTAGAAGAAAACCTAGGCAATACCATTCAGGACACAGGCATGGGCAAGGACTTCATGTCTAAAACACCAAAAGCAATGGCAACAAAAGCCAAAATTGACAAATGGGATCTAATTAAGCTAAAGAGCTTCTGCACAGCAAAAGAAACTACCATCAGAATGAACAGGCAACCTACAGAATGGGAGAAAATTTTTGCAATCGACTCATCTGACAAAGGGCTAATATCCAGAATCTACAATGAACTCAAACAAATTTACAAGAAAAAGCAAATAACCCCATCAACAAGTGGGCGAAGGATATGAACAGACACTTCTCAAAAGAAGACATTTATGCAGCCAAAAGACACATGAAAAAATGCTCATCATCACTGGCCATGAGAGAAATGCAAATCAAAACCACAATGAGATACCATCTCACACCAGTTAGAATTGCAATCATTAAAAAGTCAGGAAACAACAGGTGCTAGAGAGGATGTGGAGAAATAAGAACACTTTTACACTGTTGGTGGGACTGTAAACTAGTTCAACCATTGTGGAAGTCAGTGTGGCGATTCCTCAAGGATCTAGAACTAGAAATACCATTTGACCCAGCCATCCCATTACTGGGTATATACCCAAAGGATTATAAATCATGCTGCTATAAAGACACATGCACACATATGTTTATTGTGGCATTATTCACAATAGCAAAGACTTGGAGCCAACCCAAATGTCCAACAATGATAGACTGGATTAAGAAAATGTGGCACATATACACCATGGAATACTATGCAGCCATGAAAAATGATGAGTTCATGTCCTTTTCAGGGACATGGATGAAGCTGGAAACCATCATTCTCAGAAAACTATCACAAGGACAAAAACCAAACACCGCATGTTCTCACTCATAGGTGGGAATTGAACAATGAGAACACATGGACACAGGAAGGGGAACATCACACACCGGGGCCTGTTGTGGGGTGGGGGGAGGGGGGAGGGATAGCATTAGGAGATGTACCTAATGTTAAATGACGAGTTAATGGGTGCAGCACACCAACATGGCACATGTATACATATGTAACAAACCTGCACGTTGTGCACATGCACCCTAAAACTTAAAGTATAATAAAAAATAAATAAATAAATAAATAAATAAGTAAATAAAAGTTTTAAAAAAAAAGAAGGAAAATTTGGTCTTTTTAGAGCCAGCTACAGGCAAAATTATTAAACAAGATGAGTTTATCTTTCAATTAAAAAAGTAGAGTACCCGGTGCTAATTAAGACGTGGTTAAATGTACAGTTTCAGAAAGTCCTGGGGAGAACTTTAAATTCTCTTAAAAATAAAATTTTAATTATATTCTATTTCTGAGAATATATTCTAGTGTAATCATCCTAAAGATGGAAAAAAACTTCATACACAAAGATGTTCACTATGGTACGATTATTTATAACAAGAAAATATGAAAATAAAGCAAGTATCCAGCCATATGGAAATGGTTAAATAAAATACGATACAGTTCATGTTATTTCCCTGTGTGCTCCATCATATTTTATTGAGCTGTTTTAAATGTCAAGAGTTTTAATAACATTTGAAAATGCATATGTTATCAGGTTAAGTGAAAAGTAGCAGGTTATGAAATTATATACATAACATGTTCTCAATTATGTTAAAACATGCAAAAATATGGTAAAAGGCAAATAGTAGTCAAGATAATTTTAAAGAAGTTAGAGGAGGAGGGGAATTTTACTGTTCTAGATATCGAGGCTTAATGTTAAGTTGTAATTATTAAAACTATGAATATTAGGGCAGAAATAGACAAACAGATCAATGGAAGAGAACAGACACTTTATTTATTCATTTTGTTTGATTTTATTATTATTATTATTATTTTGAGACAGAGTCTCACTCTGTCACCCAAGCTGCAGTGCAGTGACATGATTTCAGCTCATTGCAGCCTCAAAGTCCCAGGCTCAAGTGATCCTCAGCTCCCAAGTAGCTGGGACTACAGATGCACACCACCACACCAGCCTATTTTTGTATTTTTCGTAGAGACAGGGTTTCACCATGTTGCTCAGGCTGGTCTCGAACTCCTAAGCTCAAGCAATCTGCCCACCTCAGCCTCCCAAAGTGCTGGGATTACAGTCGTTAGCCACTGCACCCAGCAACACAAATTATATATGATATAATTTATGTATATACACACAAACACACACATATACATATATACACATGTATATACATATATATACACACACATGCATACATGCACACACTCACATATAAATAAAGGTGGCATTATAATCAAAATAAATAACTCTAAAACATGGATTCCAAATGGAAATATATATGTAATTTATATCCCTACTTTATATTGTATAAAAAAATAAAATCCACATGGATTAAAATACTTAAATATAAAAAAACTCTGAAACTTTTACAGGAAAATATAGCCATATATCACTATGATCTGAGGGTAGGGAAAGATTTATTAAATGAGATACAAAAAGCCAAACCATAAAGAAAAAAGATTAACAAATTCAATTACATAAAAATATAAAATCCCACATAACCCCCCCGCCCTTAAAAAATAAATAAAGTGAAAAGACAAGCAACTGACTGGGAGAAGATATATCAACAACTGTTTGTATTATATATTCAGGAATATATAAAGAATTTCTACAAATTAATAATATGAGAAACCTAAATTACACAAATAGAGAAAAAGGCTATTAATAGGAAATTTGTAGAAGAAAAAACCCAAATTGTCAATAAACATATGAGAAGATGTTTAATCTCAATAGTAATCAAGGAAATGTGAATTAAAATCAGAGTAGGATCCTATTTCTTACATAAAAGAGTGACACAAGATTAAAAAGTCTAACAATATCAGCAGAGATGTTAAGAGATGGACATTCTCAAACATAGTTAAGGTATTCTGGGAGACAGCTTGAGAAAGACAGCCCGACCAAGGTTCCACTTTGCTTTCCAGACAACCAGATACTGAGCTCTTGTTAATGGTGAGAATTTGACTGGTGAAGAGGTTAGGGTATCTTTGGGCATGAGAGCTCTTAGCCCTCCTTTAAATCTTGCCACACCATCAACTGGCAACATGACCCCCAAGCAAGGCAGAGCTTCCTCTGCCTGCTTCTATGATGGAACTAGTTCTTCTCTCCCAGCCCTTCTGACCAGAGTCCCACTGTCCCAGTCAACTGAGTAAGCTGGAAAATAAGTCAGTCACCTGCCTTCTGCCTTGCAAAATCTAGACTAAAATTTTAATGGAATCCTTCTCAAGGCAATAATCTCAATGCTCATCCTTGGGTAACTAAGGGGACAGCCACCAGTAGCCCAATGGTACAGCACTAGACCCTCTGTTTCCACAAGATCCCAAAGGGGAGCAATTTGGAAGGGAGAAGAAAGGAAGGGAATCCACACTATTTGGCATAATAGTATAGTTGCCTGACTCTGTGGAAAGAATCACACCTTGCAAATTACAAAGCAGTTAGGGATGGGTTTTTTTTCTTTCTCCTTATGAGTTTAGACTGCACTCTCTCTCTGAGAATTCACGTGTACCCCTAAAAGGAATGTGTGTGTGTATGTGTGCCCACGTGTGCACAGATGCATGCCTGCATGTAAGTTCAGAGAATAAACAGGAGCAACTGCACTCATATTGCTGTGAGAGCTTAAAGAGGACACAAGGGGATTGCTTCCAAGATGGCCAAATAGGAACAGCTCCAATCTACAGCTCCCAGCAAGATCAATGCAGAAGAGGGGTGATTTCTGCATTTCTAAATGAGGTACCTGGTTCATCTCACTGGGACTGGTTGGACAGCGGGTGCAGCCCATGGAGGGCGAGTCAAAGCAGGATGGAGCGTCGCCTCACCCGGAAAGTGCAAGGGGTCAGGGGACTTTCCTTTCCCAGCCAAGGGAAACCATGAGTGACTGTACCTGGAGGAGCAGTACACTTCTGCCCAATACTGCACTTTTCCCATGGTCTTCGCAACCGGCAGACCAGGAGATCCCCTCCCATGCCTGGCTCGGCACATCCCACACCGATGGAGCCTTGCTCACTGCTAGTGAAGCAGTCTGAGATCAACCAAGCGGGAGCTTGGTCGGGAGAGGGGCATCTGCCATTACTGAGGCTTGAGTAGGCGGTTCTATGTTCACAGTGTAAACAAAGTGGCAGGGAAGCACAAACTGGGTGGAGCCCACTGCAACTCAGCAAGCTCTACTGCCTCTCTAGATTTCACCTCTGGGGACAGGGCATATCTGAACAAAAGGCCGCAGACAGCTTCTCCAGGCTTAAACGTCCCTACCTGACAGCTCTGAAGAGAGCAGTGGTTATCCTAGCATGGCATTCGAGCTCTAATAATGGAAAGACTGCTTCCTCAAGTGGGTCCCTGACCCCCATGTAGCCTGACTGGGAGACATCTCCCAGTAGGGGCCGACAGACACCTCATACAGGCAGGTGCCCCTCCAAGACAAAGCTTCCAGAGGAAGGAGCAGGCAGCAATCTTTGCAGTTCTGCAGGCTGTGCTACCCAGACAAACAGGGTCTGGAGTGGACCTTCAGAAAACTCCAACAAACCTGCAGCTGAGGAGCCTGTCTGTTAGAAGGAAAACTAACAAACAGAAAGGAATACAATCAACATCAACAAAAAGGACATGTACACCAAAACCCCATCTGTAGGTCACCAACATCAAAGATCAAAGGTAAATAAAACCACAAAGATGGGGAGAAACCAGAGCAGAAAGGCTGAAAATTCCAAAAACCAGAATACCTCTTCTCCTCCAAAGGAACGTAACTCCTCACCAGCAAGGGAACAAAACTGGATGGAGAATGAGTTTGATGAATTGACAGAAGTAGGCTTCAGAAGGTTGATAATAACAAACTTCTCCAAGCTAAAGGAGCATGTTCTAACCCATTGCAAGGAAGCTAAAAACGTTGAAAAATGATTAGATGAATGACTAACTAGAATAACCAGTGTAGAGAAGAGCTTAAATTAGCTGATGGACCTGAAAACCACAGTACGAGAAATTTGAGAAGTATACACAAGCTTCAATAGTCGATTCGATCAAGCACAAGAAAGGATATCAGTGATTGAAGATCAAATTAATGAAATAAAGTGAGAAGACAAGATTAGAGAATAAAGAGTGAAAAGAAATGAACAAAGCCTCCAAGAAATATGGGACTATGTGAAAAGACCAAATCTACATTTGATTGGTGTACCTGAAAGTGACAGGGAGAATGGAACCAAGTTAGAAATCACTCCTCAGGATATTAGCCAGGAGAACTTCCCCAACCTAGCAAGACAGGCCAACATTCAAATTCAGGAAATACAGAGAATGCCGCTAAGATATTCCTTCAGAAGAACAACCCCAAGACACATAACTGTCAGATTCACCAAGGTTAAAATGAAGAAAAAAATGTTAAGGGCAGCCAGAGAGAAAGGTTGGGTTACACACAAAGGGAAGCCCATCAGACTAACAGTGGATCTCTCAGCAGAAACTCTACAAGCCAGAAGAGAGTGGGGGCCAATATTCAACATTCTTAAAAAAAAAAAAAAAAAGGAACTTGCAACCCAGAATTTCATATCCAGCCAAACTAAGCTTCATAAGTGAAGGAGAAATAAAATCCTTTACAGACATGCAAATGCTGAGAGCTTTTTGTCACCACCAGGCCTGCCTTACAAGAGCTCCTGAAGGAAGCACTAAACATGGAAAGGAACAACTGGTACCAGCCACTGCAAAAACATGCCAAATTGTAAAGACCATCAATGCTATGAAGAAACTACATCAATTAACGGGCAAAATAACCAACTAGCATCATAATGACAGGATCAAATTCACACACAAAAATATTAACCTTAAATGTAAATGGGCTAAATGCTCCAATTAAAAGACACAGACTGGTAAATTGGATAAAGAGTCAAGACCCATCAGTGTGCTGTATTCAGGAGAGCCATCTCATGTGCAAAGACACACATAGGCTCAAAACAACGGGTTGGAGGAGGACCTAACAAGCAAATGGAAAGCAAAAAAAAAGCAGGGGTTGCAATCCTGGTCTCTAATAAAACAGACTTTAAACCAACAAAGATCAAAAGAGACAAAGAAGACCATTACATAATGGTAATGGGATCAATTCAACAAGAGCTAACTATCCTAAGTATATATGCACCCAATACAGGAGCACCCAGATTCATAAAGCAAGTTCCTAGAGACCTGCAAAGAGACTGAGACTCCCACACAATAATAATGGGAGACTTTAACACCCCACTGTCAATATTAGACAGATCAACAAGTCAAAAAATTAACAAGGATATCCAAGACTTCAACTCAGCTCTGAACCAAGCAGACCTAATAGACATCTACAGAACTCTCCACTACAAATCAACGGAATATACATTCTTCTCAGCACCACATCACTCTTATTCTAAAATTGACCACATAATTGGAAGGAAAACACTCGTCAGCAAATGTAATAGAACAGAAATAACAAACTATCTCTCAGACCACAGTGCAATCAAATTAGAACTCAGGATTAAGAATCTCACTCAAAACCACACAACTACATGGAAACTGAAAAACCTGCTCCTGAATGCCTACTGGGTAAATAACAAAATGAAGGCAGAAATAAAGATGTTCTTTGAAACCAATGAGAAAAAACACACAATGTACCAGAATCTCTGGGACACATTTAAAGCAGTGTGTAGAGGGAAATTTATAGCACTAAATACCCACAAGAGAAAGCAGGAGAGATCTAAAATCGACACCCTAGCATCACAACTAAATGAACTAGAGAAGCAAGAGCAAACAAATTCAAAAGCTACTAGAAGGCAAGAAATAACTAAGATTAGAGCAGAACTGAAGAAGACCGAGACACAAAAAACCTTCAAAAAAATCAATGAATCCAAGAGCTGGTTTTCTGAAATATCAACAAAATAGATAGACTGCTAGCAAGATGAATAAAAAAGAAAGGAGAGAAGAATCAAATAGACACAATAAAAAATGATAAAGGGGATATCACCACCGATTCGACAGACATACAAACTACCATCAGAGAATACTATAAACACCTCTATGCAAGTAAACTAGAAAATCTAGAAAAAAAGGATAAATTCCTGGACATATACACCCTCCAAAGACTAAACCAGGAAGAAGTTGAATCTCTGAATAGACTAATAACAGGTTCTGAAATTGAGGCAATAATTAATAGCCTATCAACCAAAAAAAGTTCAGGACCAGACAGATTCACAGCCGAATTCTACCAGAGGTACAAAGAGGAGCTGGTACCATTCCTTCTGAAACTATTCCAATCAATAGAAAAAGAGGGAATCCTCCCTAACTCATTTTATGAGCCCAGCATCATCCTGATACCAAAGCCTGGCAGAGACACAACAACAAAAAAATAAACAGGATTTTAGGCCAATATCTCTGATGCACATAGATACAAAACCCTCAGTAAAATACTGGCAAACCAAATCCAGCAGCAAATCAAAAGCATATCCACCACGATCAAGTTGGCTTCATCCCGGGGATGCAAGGCTGGTTCAACATACACAAACCAATAAATGTAATCCATCACATAAACAGAACCAATGAAAAAACCACATGATTATCTCAATAGATGCAGAAAAGGCCTTTGACAAAATTCAACAGGCTTTCATGCTAAAAACTCTCGATAAACTAGGTATCAATGGAACATATCTCAAAATAATTAGAGCTATTTATGACAAACCCATAGCCAATATCATACTGAATGGGCAAAAACTGGAAGCATTCCCTTTGAAAACCAACACAAGACAAGGATGCCCTCTCTCACCACTCCTATTCAACATAGTATTGGAAGTTCTGGCCATGGCAATCAGGCAAGAAAAAGCAATAAAGGGTATTCAAATGGGAAGAGAGGAAGTCACATTGTCTCTGTTTGCAGATGACATGATTGTATATTTAGAAAACCCCATCGTCTCAGCCCAAAATCTCCTTAAGCTGATAAGCAGCTTCAGCAGTCTCAGGATACAAAATCAACATGCAAAAATCACAAGCATTCCTATACAGCAATAACAGACAAACAGAGAGCCAAATCATGAGTGAACTCCCATTCACAATTGCTAAAAAGAGAATAAAATACCTAGGAATCCAACTTACAAGGGATGTGAAGGACCTCTTCAAGGAGAACTACAAACCACTGCTCAAGGAAATAAGAGAGGACACAAACAAATGGAAAAACATTCCATGCTCATGAATAGGAAGAATCAATATGGTGAAAATGGCCATACCGCCCAAAGTAATTTATAGATTCAATGCTATCCCCATCAAGCTACCAATGACTTTCTTCACAGAATTGGAAAAAACTACTTTAAACTTCATATGGAACCAAAAAAGAGCCCGCATAGCCAAGACAGTCTTGGGTAAGAAGAACAAAGCTGGAGGCATCACACTACCTGACTTAAACTTTACTACAAGGCTACAGTAACCAAAACAGCATGGTACTGGTACCAAAACAGATATATAGACCAATGAATCAGAATGGAGGCCTCAGAAATAACACCACACATCTACCACCATCTGATCTTTGACAAACCTGACACACACAAGCAATGGGGAAAAGATTCCTTTTTAATAAATGGTGTTGGGAAAACTGGCTAGCCATATGCAGAAAACTGAAACTGGACCCCTTCCTTAGACCTTATACAAAAATCAACTCAAGATGGATCGAAGACTTAAACGTATGACCTAGGACCATAAAAATCCTAGAAGAAAACCTAGGCAATACCATTCAGGACATAGGCGTGGGCAAAGACTTCATGTCTAAAATACCAAAAGCCATGGCAACAAAAACCAGAATTGACAAATGGGATCTAATTAAACTAAAGAGCTTCTGCACAGCAAAAGAAACTATCATCAGAATGAACAGGCAACCTACAGAATGGGAGAAAATTTTTGCCACCCATCCACCTGACCAAGGGCTAATATCCAGAATCTACAAAGAACTTAAACAAATCTACAAGAAAAAAGCAAACAGCCTCATCAAAAGATGGGCAAAGGATATGAGCAGACACTTCTCAAAAGAAGGCAATTATACAGCCAACAGACATATGAAAAAATGCTCATCATCACTCATCATTAGAGAAATGCAAATCAAAACCACAATGAGATACCATCTCACGCCAGTTAGAATGGCGATCATTAAAAAGTCAGGAAACAACAGATGCTGGAGAGGTTGTGGAAAAACATGAACGCTTTTACACTGTTGATGGGAGTGTAAATTAGTTCAACCATTGTAGAAGACAGCATCATGATTCCTTAAGGATCTAGAACTAGAAATACCGTTTAACCCAGCAAATCCCATTACTGGGCATATACTCAAAGGATTATAAATAATTCTACAATAAAGACACATGCACACATGTGTTTATTGCAGCACTATTCACAATAGCAAAGACTTGGAACCAACCCAAATGTCCATCAATGATAGACTGGATAAAGAAAATGTGGCACATATACACCATGGAATACTATGCAGCCATTAAAAAGGATGAGTTCATGTCGTTTGCAGGGACATGGATGAAGCTGGAAACCATCATTCTCAGCAAACTATCACAAGATCAGAAAACCAAACACCGCATGTTCTCACTCATATGTAGGAGTTGAACAGTGAGAACACATGGACACAGGGAGGGGAACATCACACACCCGGGCCTTTGGGGGATGGGGGGCTAGGGGAGGGATAACATTAGGAGAAATACCTAACGTAGGTGACGGGTTGATGGGTGCAGCAAACCACCATGGCATGTGTATACCTATGTAACAAAACTGCACGTTCTACACATGTAACCCAGAAATTAAAGTATAATAAAGAAAAAACAAAGAAATTGATTTAAAAACATGAAAAAAAAAAAAAAGAGGACACAAAAGAGAGACCCCTGTTCACCCTGGACCACACTGTGAGTCTTGGAGTGCCAGAGTCCCCACCTCCATCTAGACAGTTTTATTGTACTTTAATCTACAATCGCATCTCCCAGAGTGGAGTGGCCACAATTATTTTAGGCCCAGCCACTTAGCCTTGGGAAAACTGACTGCAAGAAGAAAGAGAAGAAGAATGGTGGCTTAAGAAAACATTAACGTTGGCTGGGCACAGTGGCTCACGCCTGTAATCCTAGCACTTTGGGAGGCCAAAGCAGGCAGATTGCCTGAGCTCGGGAGTTTGAGACCAGCCTGGGCAACATGGTGAAACCCCATCTTTACTGAAATACAAAAAATTAGCTGGGCATCCAGCGTGTGCCTGTAGTCCCAGCTACTCGGGAGGCTGAGGTAGGAGAATTGCTTGAATCCAGGAGGTGCAGATTGCAGTGAGCGGAGATCACTCACTCCGCTTTTTGAGACTCCATCTCATAAAAAAGAAAAAAGAAAAAGAAAAGAAAAGAAACCACAAATGTTTCCTCTCACAGTTCTGGAGCCCAAAATTCTGGAGTCAAGGCATCAGCAGAACAATTCTGCCTCCAGAGGCTTTCAGGAAGCACCCGGGCCCAGCCTCTTCAAGGCTTTGCAGCCATTCGCTCTCTTTGGCTTGAGGCTACATCACTCCAATCTCTGCCTCCATTTTCATATCAGCTTCTCCTCTCTGTGCAAAATCTCCTGTCTCTGTTTTAAGGACACATGTGACTGGATTCAGGGCCCACCTGGATAATCCAGCATAATCTCCCCATGTCAAGCTCCTTAGCCAAACCATATCTGCAAAAACACGTTTTCTTTACAAGGTAACATTTATAGGCTCCAGGGATTAAAATCTGACATCTTTGGTTAACTATTAATTGGCCTACTACAAGTACCCTACTGTGAAGAATTTCATTTCTTGATGTTTTCCTCGTAGACCCTCTTAAAGGTCATACTTACCACACAGATTTAAGTTTTCAACTCACACCCTTTAATTTCCTTTAATTGTCCCACAACTTTCCAGCACAGTAAGTCAGATACACTCCTATCGCCCTGTGAGTGGTGTTAATAATGCAATGGAGAATAAAGGAAGACGGCAGAAATGGAAAGGATGCCTCGTCCTGATCAAACTCCCTGCTTATCCTACGGAGGGAAGCAGCCGTGTACCAGTGAGATGTGCCTAAGGGTTCCAGGCAGTGACCAGCAGCCACAAGGTGAGTGAGGGTCCACAGCAGAGCTGAAAGCAACAGAGAAAACACGAGATGCTAAAGATCATTTTCCAGGTTGATACCCCAGCAGTGGTTACAAATAACAGCTTCCAATTTCCCACCCTAGGTCTGAGCAAATTGGCACTGGAAGGGGAGTACAGGTAAATTCTTATGTGGCATAAGTTTCCTAAATGGCTTCTAATAAAGACTTTTACTTTAAGGCTTAACCGCTTTAATAATAATATTGCTTCCATCCTTTTTTCCCCCTCCCAGTTCCCATCTCCCACATCTGTCTCTCTCTTTCTCTCTTTCTCCCTCTTTCTGTCTCTTCCTGTTTCTCTGTTTCTCTCTCACACACACACACACGCACGCACACACACCCCACAGCCCCTAGCCTCCTGCCAAAAACAGTTAAACAAGGCTATCCAAAATTATCCACTCCTGCCTCTCTTCTCACCACCACCCTTACAAGCATCACTCAGAACCAAAAGAAAAAAAAGTAGCTTGATCCCACACAATATGTAACCATGGAAAATGACTGATTGAGATATAGTGCATTATGTGTGCTGCCAATGGTGATAATGTAATAGTAAATTCATCATCCTGACACGTTCCTAATGTCTGACACTGCTGTCCTATTATGTCCCGTGCTACAGGGCTGCAACCCACATTGTGTAACTAAGGGAGACACATCACAAGGAACAGAGGAGCCTCACCCCTTACCCTCACCTAAATGCTCTATTTATCCACCACTTGCTGGTACAACTGGAACACTGCCGGGTGAGGAAGAGGAAGTGCACAAGGACAAGGTCAAAGAGGCACTAGCACCTGATTAAAATGGAAGCTAAATAGCTTTTCTCATCTCGGCTTTTCGAGGAGGCTCTCTGAGCAATGCCATCAACATCAGCTGCGCCAGAGCTGATGAATAGGCCGATGGCAAAGGACTCTGTGAAGCAAAGGAGATTTTCCTGAATGATGCAGTTACTTGTAGACAAGAATGACTCTCACCCCCTCAACACCAATGAGTTAATAGCCCACAGTAAGCCAGGGAGGTCAAGTGTCAAGGGAAACCCATACAGCCCACCCCTGTCCCTCCATTACCCATCCCCAACACGGAAAAAAAAAAAAAAAAGAAACCACACACACATACACAGTAGTTTTTAAGTGTCCAATCTTTTGGCTCCCTGGGCCACAGTGGAAGAAGAAGAATTATTTTGGGCCACACGTAAAATACACTAACACTAATGACAGCTGATGAGCTAAAAAAAAAAAAAATCGCAAAAAAAATCATAACGTTTTAAGAAAGTTTATGAATTTGTGTTGGGCCACATTCAAAGCTGTCCTGGGCCACATGCAGCCCACAGGCGGTGGGTTGGACAAGCTTGTTTTAAATGATGATCACAAAATACTTGTGTTTACTGAGCAAAACCCATTGTCTTCATTTGGGTTCTCTGTGACATTTGGTTCCCCTGCCACTCATTCTCTCAACAGACCCCATGGCAACAATTCAAATGCAATAAGATTCTAGAGGAGGCACAAGAAGCACTACCTCCAGTAGGTGAGTGGAAAGTGAGAGAAGGAAGGAAAGGCTACAAATAAAGGCTGTGTCCTCAAGCAGTTACCACTGGGAGTGAATGGAGCTGAATCCTATGGGAAAGGGGAAATGGTATAAAACACCTACCTAGGGTGTCTGCCCAGAGAGGCAAGGGGGCTTGGGTATTTGTCCTCAGACTCCCATCACTCATTGGTTGAGGGCTCCTCCCTGGAGGGATTAATTTCTGAGCATTTCCAGTCTAGCACTTCCAGTTTGCTGTGGACAGGTCACTAATTCCAGCTTACTAGGTTCAATGCACATTGCCTCACAACAGTTCCCTAGGAACTACAGATTAAATCAGTGAAGTAGATGGCTGCTAACTCTAAATCCTAAAAACAAGTCATAGAAGATAAAAAGAAAAAACAAAAACAAAAATTCTGCCAACACACAAAACTGAAGTGCTCTGCTAAGGCTCATTTTCCAAAAGATGCTTCATTATTTTTGATAGTATTATAGTTCTAGGTAGCATGCTATGCACTTTGGATACTAGAAAGACTTGTACTCATTGGCTTAATTTTGCACTAGAACAAGTGTAAGAGATTTTTCTCATGTTGTTCAAACAGCTCCATTTTCAGCTAGCCAATGTGAGGTTGACTGTAAAGGAAACTGTGAAAGAGACTAAGTTTGCTTTAGTGTTCTCTGTCTCCTCTCTCTGGCTCTTTCCCCTTCTCCTGGAGCTCCTTCCTCAACCATTAGGCACCCAGACCCATTCCTGTCAAAAACAGCTATCAGGGAAAGTCTGATATCAGTCATTTTTCCATAAATGCAAATGTATGCTCTCATTCATTCAACAAATATTTAATAAGCAAATTATTTTAGGCTTGACAGTCTGCTGGATGTTGCAGACATGGAAGTATAACTTGCAGTCTGCACAGCATGATACGTGCCAGAATGGAGACATGGATTGGTATCAGAGTATTGGGGAGTTGCTGCTAAGAAGTGTATCTTCAATTAGTGATTGAAAGTTTTTGTCTCTTGTTAAATGCATTTCACACATCAGTAAATAGGCAAAAAAGATAGGGGAATGGAAGGAAGCCCCACGCCCCTAATCCATAATCTTACATTGTAGCTACAGAGAAGTCAAGCATTTGGGCCATTTTCTATCCCACCTACATATAGAGCTGGCCTGTGGCCATGGCCTGCAGAACAAATAGAAAACAAGCAGCAAACAGCAAAGCAAGCATCTGCTCCTGAAATTCCTGCTGTGCCTAAAGGATGTTTTTGAATTTGCTTGCATACGCCACAAAAAAATGAGATTTCCTATTTATATATGAATTAGACATTCAAATAATAATGCTCTCGTAGGTTATTATTTAATGTAGAGATTTCCTCTGTGTTTCTGCCTAACACCTGTTTGGTTTCCCTATCCCTGCATCACGTGTTGAAGAATCAGAGCCAAAGCTCTAAGAAAAGTATCTGTGCCCAGTATTTCTGCATTTGTAAAAGGAAGATAATAATATCTCACAGTGAAGTCAAGAGAATTAAATGAGACCATGTAAAGGACCTAGATCAACATCCGATACAAGGAAGGCAATCAGTAATGGGAGGAGTTTAGAAAAGCAGGTTTGGAGAGTTTATTTTTCCTAACAAGCTCCAGGCTTTTCTGAGAGATCACAATAAAATCTTATGCTGTGTTTTGTAGGTATAGTTATCCAGTGCTCACTGATTTCTTAGGAAGAAAATAAGCAGGCCCTTGAACACACAGATGTGCTACAGGGGAGGATGTTCATCTAACTGCCTAACTGCAAGGAAAGCTCAGGTAGGCTGATTGTCAGTCAATAATCAGAGTCCAGGGACTGCCATATTGGGTTACACTCAAACACAACTAAGAGGAGGATCCCAGGCCTTTGGCTTACACACACACGTGCACACACACACACACATCCAACAAACACTTCTTAATTGGGTTTTTAAGTTTTATAAGAAATATTTATGTTTTTATGTTGTAAACAAACATGACTGCACCCCTTTTTGTTGGTGTAAATTGCAATGTTGGAATTATCTTCTATACCAGAAGAACATTTTATGTTTTACAAACCAAGAGGCAATGCCGTCAGTTCTTAAACAGGTGTTCTAATAGAAAGCCCAACAGTCTTTTTAAATTTTACATTTAACAATGTAAAAACCACTCATTGCTCAAGGCCTAGATTTACCCCAAGGGCTCATAATTTGCTAACCTTGTACTAAAAAGGTGAAGCTAAGAATTTCAACTGTTGTATTACTTTTCAAATTTCAATGCAAATGAGAATGCACTTCCTTTCTAATAGACATTCTCACCAAACAGACCAGGAGATATATTGTACTAGCAGTCACCCACAAAATATGGTCTGTAATTTCTAATATGGCTCTAGCCCCAAAACATATCCCATTTCCACCTGAAATGGCCCATCTACTGTTGCCTAGATCCTCCATTCCAAACTTCACCTTTTAGTACTAAATAATTCTTTTTTTTTTTAAGAAACCATCTAAAGGGACAATACCTTAAGTCACTAAAATTCTAACAATAACTTTTATTTTCTCACATGGGAATCTTTTTTTTTTCTTTTTTTTTTTTTTTTGAGACAGGATCTCGCACGGTCGCCCAGGTTGGAGTGCAGTGGTGCGATCTTGGCTCACTGCAACCTCCTCCTCCTGGGTTCAAGTGCCACAGCCTCCTGTTTAGCTGAGACTACAGACATGTGCCACCTAGCCCAGCTAATTGTTGTATTTTTAGTAGAGACAGGGTTTCACCATGTCAGCCAGGCTGGTCTCGAACTCCTGACCTCAAGTGATCCACCTGAGTTGGCCTCCTAAAGTGCTGAGATTACAGGCATGAGCCACCGCGCCTGGCATCATATGGGAATCTTGAACAATGTATGCAAAATAAAAGAACACCAAAAGAAGGGAGAGGGAACAAGTGTTGTTCCCAATGGAAATTTGGAATGTTTCCTAATTCCAGATCAATTTTTTTTTTAAAAGGTTAGTGATGGGGCAGTGCTATTCTGATACATCTGCGTGTCTTACCTGCTTTCCCTAAGGGAAACAGAATAAGCATGTTAAGCATGCAGTCTCTGGAGACTGCATCTAGTTCTCACAAGCAGTATAAACTTGCGCAAGTCACTGAACCTAAATGAGTCTCTGTTCAACTTTCTGAAAAATGGCAATAGTTCTAGGATTTATCTCAGAGTGTTGTTGTAACAATGAAATAAGATGCGTATATGAAGAACACTTGGAATAGGATTGGCCCATAGAGACGCAATGAGTGATAGCAATAATCGTTTTAACAGTTGTTCTCAAATTTTAGTGCAAAATAATAAATATAGAATTTGTTTAAAATTTCTACTTCCATCCCTACTGGAAATTTCTACTTCCATCTTTTCAGAAGGTCTGAAGTGGGGCCCAGGAATATGCATTTTAATAGGAATGTCGGATTATTTTGATGTCAATGATATAGGACCATACTTTTTAAAAAATAATGCCCTACAAAACAAATCAATAATGTTAAAAGTCAAAATAGTGATCACCTGAGAGGATGTGGGAGACGGTAGTGATTAGGAGAAAGTTCAAGGAGACTGTAAGGTGCAGGTAATGGTCTATACCTTGGCCCAGGTGTCGGCTACATGGATAGGTTAACCTTGTAATAATTTATCAAGTTGCACACACAATTTTCTGTATATGTTTTTTTCTTTAATAAAAAAATAAAAATATAAAACCACAACTAAAGTAACAACACAATCAAACCAGTGCCCTCTGTCTGTGGTTCTTATCTCTGACTGAATATTAAATTCATCTGGGGAATATATAACAAACATCCTTGCTCCAATGTTAATAAACATTAAGTCCACAACTCTCAGAAATTCCGATTTGATCAATCTGGTTTGGGGCCCAGCCATCAGTATATTTTTAAAACTCCTCACGTGATTCTATCCTTTGCAGCCAGAGTTGAGAGCCAATGTGTTATATCAGCGTTCTCAAACCTTACCATACATCAGACTTATCTAAAGGACCTATTAAAATACCAATGATTGGCCCCCCACTTCCGGAGTTTCTGAGTAAATGGGTCTAGGATAGAGCCTGAGAGTTTGCATTTCTAACACCTCAGGTAATGCTGATGCTACTGATCCACAGAACACAGGCCACACTTTAAGAACCATCGACTTTTACTTACTTTCCTAATAAGGTTAAACCTGTAACACCTAATCCTCTCTTCCTCATTCTCCCAATATTCCTTATCAATAAAGAGTTAATACTCCTCAAATGTTTAAAATCTATATCCCAGGAGTAACTGCACTGTGTCTACAGTTATCACATGCAGGTAGTTCTGACATCATAACTTTTGGTTAAGCTAGCAAACATTCTTTCATTTGAATATTCATACATTCCATACACAGACATTAATGTGCCCCTAAAATGCACCACTGAGCTGTGTGCAGACCTGGCTTTCTAGTCCTCACACTAGAGCAAAACTCCTGAGTCTCATACATACAGGAACTATGTTGACTGCTGATTGCTGACTACACCACGCCTTCTGGATTATTCTTGGGATAGCTATCTCTTTCTGTAGGTGGACACAGCAAGAGGCACTGGAAGAATCTGGAGGTCCTTGGGAAATGAGTATCATACTCTCAAAAGAAGGATACACACACTTCTATACAAAAGTAAAGAGTGTTCCTTAAATATTTTTAGGTGCTCACAACACATTTGTCCTGAAGGCTCCAGTTGGAACTTTACCTCTTACCAGAACTTTCCTCTTACCTCTCACCAGAACTTTACCTCTTACCAGAGGCAGAGATTCCACTGTGAGAAATCTAGTGGCAATTTTAAAGACCACTCTCCATGTGTAGCCCCAGATAATACAATGCAGAACAATCATCAATCGTAATACAAGCATGACCCTTAGATCATCACTCAAACTGATTTACTCCTAAAAACTTTGCTCTGCACATTTTCATTCCCCCATGCCCTTGTTTTGTTTACATTACTTAAATTCTACTGGGAAGAAAGGCCTTGATATTGGATTGCAGAGCCCACGTAAAACATCTAGGCTATTGCATTTGTCAACTCTCAAGGCAGGTAGAGTAATTGAAGTCCATTTATAAAGCTTTTCATAACTCACTAGCAAGAATATAAACTGACAAGTTTAACAAAAAAGGAAGGGAAATTCTTAGGAAATTATATTCACTATGAATTCCCCCATGTTTCTAAAGACATTTCTATAAAACAGAAAGCTTTGGCTCAGTGTCAGTTAATACTATAGCAATAAAACAAATCACCAATTTTCCTCAATTGTTACCGTCTTACTCTTAGTTTTAGAAAAACAACTGCTTTACTTTATACCTTGCATCTCACTATCTCTTTCAACAGAATTAATGCTACGTGAAATCCTATGTGATCTGTACCCAATTTTATGAAATAACTGGTATTTTAGGCAGAATTAAACCCAGCAATATGTAAAGAGTAAAACACTGTGTTTAAATGGGGTTTGCCCCAGAAACAAAAGGTTTAATAGAAAAGCAATCAATGTGGCCAGGTGCAGTGGCCTGTAATCCCAGCACTTTGGGAGGCCGAAGCAGGCAGATCACCTGAGGTTGGGAGTTCGAGACCAGCCTGGCTAACATGGTGAAACTCTGTCTCTAATAAAAATACAAAAAATTAGCCAGGCATGGTGGTGGGCACCTATAATCCCAGCTACTCAGGAGGCTGAGGCAGGAGAATTGCTTGAAACTGGGAGGCAGAGGTTGCAGTGAACCAGGATCACGCCACTGCACCCCAGCCTGGGCGACAGAGTGAGACTCCGTTTCAAAAAAAAAAAGAAAAGTAATCAATGCAAATTCACTATATTAACAAAAAAAAGGAGAAATACAGTATGATCCTCTCAACAAATACAGAAAAGGTATTTAATTAAAAATCTAAATTCATTCATGTTAATTACTCTCAGCAAACTAGAAATAGAATGGAACTTCTTCAATTGATGTATGAAAAATCTTACTTAATGGTGAAAAACTGAATACTTTCCCCCTAAAATCAGAAATAACGATGGCTTCTCTCACTACTCTTACTCAACATTTTGCTAACAGTCCTAGCCAGTGCAGTAATGTAAGAAAAGGAAATAAAAGGCATGCCAATTGGAAAAGGTGAGGTAAATTTGCCTGTATTAGTAAACATGACATGCTCATGAACATAGGATATCCTAAGGAATCTAGAAAAAAGCCACTAGAAATAACAAGTGATCTAGGAAGGTAGCAGGATACAAAAACAATACCTAAAATCAATTCTACTTCTATATTCTAGAAACAATTAGAAATTCAAATCTTAAAATACTACCATTTATAATATCAAAAAATATTAAATAATTAGAGACAATTTTTTAAAGTATGCAAGTCCTTACACTGAAAATAATAAAATATTGCTGAGACAAAATAAAGACCGAAAAAAATGAAGACATAACCTATATTCATGTCAGAAGACTCCATATTGATTAGACATCAGATCTCACCAAATTGGTCTATAGATTTTTCATAATATCAGTCAAAATCCCAGCAGGCTTTATTGTAGAAACTGACAAGCTGATTCTAGAATTTATAAGGAAAAGTAAAAGACCTAAAACACCCAAAACTATTTTGAAAAATAAGAACAAAGTACTCATACTCTCTGATCTTAAGACTTAATATCCAAATGGGGAAAAGTGAACCTTGACCTTTACTTCACTAGTCACAAAAATTAATTTGAAATGGGTTATAAACCTAAACATAAAAACAAAACTATAAAACTTCTAAAAAAAAAAATACATTTATCTGACCAGGACTTGTAGGTACAATACATAAAGAACTCTTATAATTTTATAAAAAGAACACCAATAACACAATTAAAATGGGAAAAATATTTGAACAGAAATTTCACAGAAAGAATACATAGAATGCCAAAAAGCATATGTAAAGATGCTCCCCATCTTTAGTCATAAAGAAAATACAGTTAAAACCACAAAAGATACCACAACATCCCCACTCAAATGGCTAAAAATGTAAAAGACTGAGAATATCAAGTGTTAGCAAGGATATAGAGCAATTAGAACTCTCAGACATTGCTGGTAGAAATGTAAAACAATGCAGCTACTTGGATAAACTATTTGACAGTTTCTTAGAAAGGTCAACATACATTTACCATGTGACTCAGGAATTCCTCTCCCAAGTATCCTTTAAAAGAAAACATATGTACATTCTCACTTATTAAAAAATAGAATGAATAAGACCTACTCTTTGATAGCACAATAGGGTGACTATAGTCAATAATAACGTAATTGCATATTTTAAAATAACTTAAAGAATGTAACTGGGTTGTTTGAAACTCAAAGGAAAAATGCTTGAGGGGATGGATACTCCATTCTCTGTGATATGCTTATTTCACACTGCAGGACTGTATCAAAACATCTCACATACCCCATAAATATATACACCTACTATGTACCCACAAAAATTCCAAAAAATAATTTTTAAAAATTTATGAAAACACTGAAAACAAAACTTATTTTTAAAGTACACATGGGTTTATAGCAGTATTATTAATAATAATAATAACGAAATGCTGAAAACAGCCCAAATTCAGTTACAAAAAAAACAAAAAAACAAAAAAAACAACTACTGTTCCATGCCACAACATAGAGGAATCTCTAAAACATTACACTGAGGGGTGAGCGGCGGCGGGTGGTGGGGGGACCTAACACAAAAGAGTGCCTACTTCATAATCCCATTCATATGAAACTGTAGGAAAGACAAATATGGTCTATAATGATAGAAAGCAGATCAGTGGTTGCCTAGGACTGGGATTGGGAGATGGTGGTTATGGGAAGGAGAACAGGGGGACCATTTGGGTGGACAGAAATGTTTTATATTTTGATTGTGTAAACATTTCTCAAAACTCATAGAATAGAGACAGGCAGAGCCAGATGGCAGAACAGAACCCTCCAGAAATCATTCCCCAACAGAAACACCAAATTGAACAACTATCCATGCAAGAAATCACCTTCATAAGAACCAAAAATCAAGTGAGCAATCACCATGCCTGGTTTTAACACCGTATCAAGGAAAGGGTCATGAATCAAGAAACAGAGACCAAAAAAAAGAGAAAGGGGCACTGAAAACAGTAAGAAAGACAGTCTTGCATGGCCCCTCACCCCAACAGTAGCCTGCAGAGAGAGAATCTCCAAGTACACAGGTACCTGGAGAAGGGAGGGAGCATTTAAACTACCCTTGGCCAGAGGGGAATCCTCTGCCCCAGGGTAGGAACCTGGGTGCCAGCCAGCTCCACCACCAGCTGACTAAAGAGCCCTGGAGTCCTGAATAAATATGAAAGGCAGTCAGGCCACAAGGACTGCAGTCCATGGGCAAGTCTGGTTGCTGCACTGGGCTGGGAGCCAGAGGAATTGGAGTGCACACAATCCATCAAGACAGTTGTGGTGGCCAAGGGAGTGCTTTTGTTGCTCTTCCCCCAACTCCAGGCAGTGCAGCTGGGGGAGAGACTTCTTCCACTTGAGGAGAGGAGAGGGAAGAGTAAAGACGACTTCATCTTGCAACCTGGGAACCAGCTTAGACACAGTTAAAAAAGAAAAAGAAGAAGAAGAAAGAAGAACCACCACCAGCACCAGCACCACCAAGCAGATTTCTGAAATGGCCCAATTCCAGGCCCTAGCTCCTGGACATCATTTCTAGATCCTTCCTGGGCCAGAAGGGAAGCTGCTGCCCAAAGAGAAGGACCCAGTCCTGGAAGGATTCACCACCTGCTAACTAAAGACCCCTGGGGGCTTGAATAAATACCAGTGGTAGCTGGGCAGTAGTTACCATGGGCCTTGAGCAAGACTCAGTACTGGCTTCAGATGTGACCCAGGATAGTCCTGGCTGTACTGGCCTTAGAAGTGTCTGCGTCACCCCTCCCCCAACTCCAGGCAGCCCAGCACAGAGAGAGAGAGAGAGACTCCTGTTTTGAAGAAAGTGAAGAAAAAGAATGAGAAACTGCCTCATAAGGGAATTCTCCCCATCTTACCCAAGCCCACCAAGGCAGTAGAAGTCTACAAGAATAATAGCATTACTGGACATGGGGCGCCCTCTAGTGCAGATATGACTGCAGTGACCAAAGACTTAGATCATAACATTTAATTCCCTTTGAATACCTGGAAAGCCTTCTCACAAAGGATGGGTACAAAAAAGCCCAGACTGAGGGATTAGAATAAATACCTAATTCTTCAATGCCCAAACATGCATGGATGAACATCCGCAAGCATCAACAACAAGCAAGAAAACATGACCTCACCAAATGAACTAAGTCACCACTGACTAATCCCCCAGTGACAGAGATATTTGACTTTACAGAGAGAGAATTCAAAATAGCTGTTTTGAGGAAGTTCAACAAATCTCAAGAAAACACAGAGAAGAATTCAGAGAATCCCATCAGAAAAATTTAACAAGGATATTTAAATAACTTTAAAAAATCAAGCAGAAATTCTGGCTGAAAGCTTCAATTGACAAACTGGAAAATACTTCAGAGTCTCTCAACAGCATAATTGATCAAGCAAAAGAAAGAATTAATGAATTTGAAGACAGGCTATTTGAAAATATACAGTCAGAGGATAAAAAAGATTAAAAAAAGGAATAAAATATGCTTACAAGATTTAGAAAATAGCCACAAAAGGGTAAATCTATGAGTTATTAACCTTAAAGAAGAGGTAGAAAGAGAGATTGGGGTAGAAAGTTTATTGAAAGAAATAATAACATAGAACTTTCCTAATTTAGAGCAACATCAGTATTCAGGTACAAGGTCATAGAACATTAAGCAGATTTAACCCAAATAAAACTACTTCAAAGCATTTAATAAACAAAACTCCCAAAGGTCAAGGATAAAGAAAGAACCTTAAAAACAGCAAAAGAAAAGAAATCAATAACATATAAAGGCGATCCAATACATCTGGCAGCAGACTTCTCAATGGGAATCTTGTAGGCCAGGAAAGAATGGTATGACATATTCAAATTGCTGAAAGAAAAAAGAAAACTTTTATCCTAGAATATTATATCTAGCAAAAATCCTTCAAACATGAAGGAGAAAAAAAAATACTTTCCCAGACAAAAGATGATAGATTTCATTGACACCAGACATGTCCTACAAAAAATGCTAAAGAGTATTCTTCAACCTGAAAAAAAAGGACAATAATGAGCAATAAGAAATCATCTGAAGGTATAAAACTCATGAGTAACAGTAAGTACACAAAAAAAACAGACTACTGTAACATTATAATTGTAGTGTTAAACCACTCATATCTTGAGTAAGACAAACCAATCAAAAATAATAACTATAACAACTTTTTAACAGGTAGATAGTATTGAAAGATAGAAACAGTGAAAAGTTAAAAAGTTTTGGAGGGATGGTGTTAAAGTGCAGAGTTTTTATTTGTTTTCTTTTTGCTTGTTTATTAGTGGAGTGTGGTTTTTTGGGGTTTTTTTTTGTTTGTTTTTTGTTTTGGTCATCAGAGTTAAGTTGTCATCAGTTTAAAATAATGGGTTATAAAATGTTTTTTGCAAGCAAGCCTCATGGTCACCTAAAATCAAAGACCTACAGCAGATAGATTAAAAATAAGAAATTAAAACATACTACCAGAGAAAATCACTTTTACACAAAGGAAGACAGGAAGAAAGGAAGGCCACAGAACAAACAGAAAACAAATAACAATGGCAGTAGTAAGTCCTTAACTATCAATAATGACATTGAACGTAAATGAACTAAACTCTCCAATCAAAAGACATAGAGTGGCTGAATGGATAGAAAAATAAGACCTCAACTATATGTTGTTTACAAGAGACTCACTTCACCTATAAAGACACAGACTGAAAATAAAGGGGTGGAAAAAACATATCCCATGCAAACGGAAACCAAAAAAGAGCAGGAGTAGCGATACTTATATTAGATAGTGTAGATCTTAAGACAAAGAAGGTTATCATATAATGATAGAGGGGTCAATTCAGCAAGAGGATATACCAATTGTAAATATATATGCACCCAACAATGGAGCACCCAGATATATAAAGAAAATATTATTAGTGCTAAAGAGAGAGATAGGCCCCAATACAATAATAGCTGAAGATCTCAACAACCCACTTTCAGTATTGGACAGATCATCCAGACAGAAAATAAACAAAGAAATATCAAACTTAATCTGCACTATAGACTAAATGCACCTAATAGATATATTTACAGAACATTTCATCCAACAGCTACAGAATGCACTTTCTTCTTAGCACATGCATCATTCTCAAGGACGTGCCATATATTAGGCAAAAAAACAAGTCGTTAAAAACTCACAAAAATTGAAATCTTTCACCTGATCTTTGCCTGGTATTTACAAAAAAGAAAAGAAAATTGAAATAAAATGAAGTATATTCTCTGCTCACCATGGAATAAAACTAGAAATCAATTACAAGAGAAACTTCGGAAACTATATGAAAACATGACAATTAAACAGTATGCTCCTGAATGACCAGTGGATCAATGAAGAAATTAAGAAGAAAATTGAAAAATTTCTTGAAACAAATGAAAATGAGAACACAACATATTAAAATCTATCAGGTATAGCAAAGGCAGTACTAAGAGGAAAGTTTATAGCAAATAAGTCCCTACATCCAAAAAGTAGAAAAACTTCAAATAAATAACCTAATAATACATCTTAAAGAACTAGAAAAGAAAGAGCAAATCAAACCTAAAATTTATAGAAAAAAAGAAATAATAAAGATCGGAGAAGAAATAAATGAAATTGATAGCAAAAGAATAATACAAAAGACCAATAAAATGCAAAGTTGGTGTTTTGAAAAGATAAGTGAAATTGAAAAACCTTTAGCAAAACTAACTTAAATAAGAGAGAAGACCCAAATAAATAAAATCAGAAATAAAAGAGAAGACATTACAACTGATAGCACAGAAATTCAAAGAATCATTGGAGGCTATTATGAACAACTATATGCCAATAAACTGGAAAACCTAAAAGAAATGGATAAATTTCTGGGCACATACAACCTACTGATTGAACCATGAAGAAATCCAAAATCTGAATAGGCCAGTGACAAGTAATGAGATTGAAGCCATAATAAAAAGTCTCCTAGCAAAGAAAATCTCAGGACTCAATGGCTTAACTACTGAATTTTACTAAACATTTAAAGAAGAACTAACACCAATCCTACTCAAACTATACCAAAAAAAAAAAAAAAGTGAAGAGGAGGGACTATTTCCAAACCCATTCTACAAGGCCAGTATTACTGTGATACCAAAATCAGACAAAGACACAAGAAAAAAGAAAACATCAGGCCACTATCTCTGATGAACATAGATAAAAATTTCTCAAGAAAATTCTAGCTAACCAAATACAACAACATATTTAAAAGATCATTATCATGGCCAAGTGGGATTCATCCCAGAAATGCAAAGATGGTCCAAGATATGCAAATCAATTAACATGATATGTCATATAAACAGAATATGATCATTTAAATTATCATTATCAAATAATAATATCATTTCAATTGATGCTGAAAAAACATTCAGTAAAATTCAATATCCATTCATGATAAACACTCTAAAAAAATGGGCAGTGACGGAACATATCTTAACACAATAAAAGCCATATATGACAGACCCACAGCTAGTATCATACTAAACAGGCAAAAACTGAAAGCCTTTCCTCTGAGATCTGGAACAAGACAAGGATGCCCACTCTCACCATTGTTATTCAACATAGTACTGGAAGTCCTAGTTAGAGCAATCAGACAAGAGAAAGAAATAAAGGGGATCCAAATTGGAAAGGAAGAAGTGACATTATCCTTACTTGTAGATGATATGATCTTATATTTGGAAAAAACTTAAAGACTTCACAAAAAAGTATTAGAATTGATAAATAAATTCAGTAAATTTGCAGGATACAAAATCAACATACAAAAATCAGTAGCATTTCTTTATGCCAACAGTGAAAAATCTGAAAAAAGAAATCAAGAAAGTAATCCCATTCATAATAGCTACAAATGAAATAAAATATCTAGCAATTAACCAAAGAAGTGGAACATTTCTACAATGAAAACTATAAAACATTAATGCAAGAAACTGAAGAGGACACCGAAAAATGGAAAGATATTTCATGTTCATGTATTAGAATAATCAATAGTGTTCAATTGTCCATACTACCCAAAGCAATCTGTAGATTCAGTCAATCCCTATCAAAATACAAATGACATTGTTCACAGAAATAGAAAAGATAATCCTAAAATTCATAATAACCACTAAAGACCCAGAATAGCCAAAGCTATCTTGAGCAAAAACAATAAAACTGGAGGAATAGCATTATCTGACATCAAATGATACTACAAAGCTATAGTAGCCAAAACAGTATGGTAGTGGCATAAAAACAGACAAATAGACCAATAGAACAGAAAGCACAGAAATAAATCCACGCATCTACAGTGAGCTCTTTTGACAAAGATGCCAAGAACATTCATTGGAAAAAGGACAGTCTTCAATAAAAGGTACTGGAAAAATTGGATGTCCACATGCAAGAGAATGAAACTCTCGCCATATACAAAAATCAAATTAAATGGATTAAAGACTTAAATCTAAGACTTTAAACTATGAAGCTACTAAAAGGAAACATTGGGGAAACTCTACAGGACATTGATCTGGGCAAAGATTTCTTTAGTAATACCTCAAAAGCACAGGCAACCAAAGCAAAAAAGGGACAAATGGGATTACATCAAGTAAAAAGGCTTCTGCACAGCAAAGGAAACAATCAACAAGGTGAAGAGACAACTCACGGAATGGGAGAAAATATTTTCAAACTACCGATTTGACAGGGGATTAATAACTAGAATAAATAAGGAATTCAAACAACTCAATAAATAATTTGATTTAAAAATGGGCAAAAGATCTAAACAGACATTTGTCAAAGGAAGACATAAAAATGGCAGACAGGTATATTATAAAATGCTCAACACCATTAATAATTAGGGAAATGCAAATCAGAACCACAATAAGATATCATCTCACCCCAGTTAGAATGGTTATCAAAAACTAATAACAAATGCTAGTGAGGATATGGAGAAAGAAGAAGCCTCATACACTGTTGGTGGAATGTAAATTAGTATAGCCACCATGGAGAACAGTATGGAGTTTCCTCAAAACACTAAAAAAAGAGCTACCGTATGATGCAGCAATCCCACTGCTAGATTTATATCCAAAAGAGAGGAAATCAGTATATCGAAGAGACACCTACACTCCCATGTTTATTGCAGCTCTATTCACAATAACCAAGATTTACAATCAACCTAAGTGTTCATCAGTCAATGAACAGATAAAGAAAATGTGGCACATATTACAAAATAGAATATTATTCAGCCATAAAAAATAATGAAATCCTGTCATTTCATGTCAGTTTCATGGATGGAAATGGAGGACATTATGTTAAGTGAAACAAGCCTGGCACAGAAAGACAAATTTCACATATTCTCACTCATTTGTGAGAACTAACAATTAAAACAATTGAACTCATGAAGCTATAGAGCAGAATGATCATTACCAGAGGCTGGGCAGGGTAACATGGGGGTGAGGGGAAATGGAGTGGGGATGATTAATGTGTACAAAAAATACATAGATAGAATGAATAAGATCTATTATTTGATAGTATAACAGGGTGACTAAAGTCATTAATAATTTACCGTGTATTTAAAAATAACCAAAAGAATAGAATTTGAATGTCCCTAACACAAGGAAATGATAAATACTTGAGGTGATGGATATTCCATTTACTCTGATGTGTTTCTTACATATTGTATGCCTGTATCAGAACATCACATGTACCCCATTAATATATACAGCTATTATATTCCCATAGTAATTAAAAATTAAAAATATACATACACACTCATGGAAGCATTTTATTGTATGTAAATTATACCTCAATAAAGTTATTTTTTACTTAAAAAGTTAACATTTTTTACATTTCTGACTACATTTTGACACTGTTGGTGTAATAAAAAAGAAGCAATGAATATGAAGCATTGAATAAAAAGAGCTACCATCTGTGCTCAGCATTTGAAAAAGATTTTTTCACTTAATTTTTCCATAAAACCAATGGCTTGACTTTATTTCTAGTCTCACTTGAGGGATGAGAAAAGTTGACATTATAATAAGCAGTGTGGTTGGCTTGGAAAGTCAGATCCATCGATCTCCAAAGTAGTCCATGCTCTCAGCACTACATCATGATTTTTCCCAAAGTAGGAAGACATTGTACCCTCAATATGCCAACAAAGAGGAAAATAAGTCGGTTTGTCACCTGGGCAGAGCAGGAACAAAATAAATCATCAAGAAGCTTTTCAGGGACCACTAATGTCAATAGACCATCAAGTCTGAACTGATGGAGCAGCAAATGTAATTATTGCACCAGGAAAATTCCAGTTTAAGATACTGCTTAATCTCAAAGGTACAAAGGTCCTTGTTATTATTCTCATTTAGAAGGAGAATTAACTTGCAAAGAAGGGCAGGCATTTTCAAAGAATAAAAACTATATACCAACTTTCCTCTCCCACTTATCTTGTTTACTAGAATGGTTATGTTCCCAGCTCATCATGTTTTACAGGTGAATTCTTTCAAAATTTGAGGGACAGATAGTATCATATGAAGCAAATGGATCCAGCACCAGAAAGAACATAAGTAAGAAATGGAAAACAACCTCATGAATTCTAGAAAAGCAAATATAGCCTTAATACCAAAACTTCACAAAGATAGTACAAAAACATTTTTTTGGAAAGGCTAAGGGACAGGGAAGAAAAGGGAAGAGGAAGGAAAGAAAAGAGTGGAAGGAGACTTAGAAAAATTTCATTTAAGAGTATAAGAGTGAAATTACAAATAAAATGTTAGCAAATATAATTCAACAAAATATCATCTATGGTAACCAAATAAAATTAAGCAGAGAAAACAAGAATGGCCCAGTAATGAGAAACTTATGAACACAATATGCTGTGACGGAAAAAGCCAAACAAGAAGATCCATAATTCACCATTTAATCATTTGCCCCAACTTGTCATTCATTTTTTTATCCTAATATATGAATACATAGAAGTTACTGAAATACTTTCTTTGAATAAGGAAGAATATCAATTTATACTAAAGATGAAATATACATTTATAACATCAATAAATAAAACTCCCCAGCTGCCAAAAAGGCATTTAATAAAATTAACCTCCATGCCTGATTTCATTACTAGCTTTAAAATAGGACAAAAAGGAGAAAAGACTTTGAAGTGAAACAGACCTAGGTCAAATAAAAACACCACCACTAACCTCATGTATACATAGCCCAGTGCTTGGCACATAATAAACACCCAATAAACGAAAAGTAATTTCTATATCAACCAACCAGCCAGCTTCATGCTTAATAAATTCTATAGGCATAATATTAAAATTAGGCACAAAATAAGGAAGCTTTCTATTACCAATATTTAGTATTATATATATGAAACAAAAGTCATGAATGCAGTAAAGGAAAAGACAAAATTATCATTATTTGCAGATGAGTGGCTACCTTGAATATCCAAATAGAGAATTCCAATAACTAGTAAAACTAAAAAAAAAGTTTTAAAAAATGGCTACATAGAACATAATTTTTTAATTTTTATTTATTTATTTATTTATTTATTTATTTATTTATTTTTGAGACGGAGTCTCGTTCTGTCGCCCAGGCTGGAGTGCAGTGGAGCGATCTCGGCTCACTGCAAGCTCTGCCTCCCGGGTTCACGCCATTCTCCTGCTTCAGCCTCCCAAGTAGTTGGGACTACAGGCGCCCGCCACTACGCCCGGCTAATTTTTTGTATTTTTAGTAGAGACGGGGTTTCACTGTGTTAGCCAGGATGGTCTCGATCTCCTGACCTCGTGATCCGCCCGCCTCGGCCTCCCAAAGTGCTGGGATTACAGGTGTGAGCCACCGCGCCCCGCCGAACATAAATATTTTTTAATAAATAACATTCCAATATAGTAGTCTAATTAGATAATATAATCTTAAAACAGATTTTATTTACTATAGAAAGAACAAAAATTTTAAAGGGAAAATTTCCATGAGAAATACAAACATCATGAAAAAACAAAAATATTTATAGAATAATATTTGAGTAAGAATAGGAAAATTATGATAAATATATAAAGGCTTCCAAAATGTATATTTGTATTTAAAATCCCAACAGGATTAAGGAGACTTTAAGTGTTCTGAAATTCATTTGAATAGAATAAACAGGTAAGAATATTTACAAACAAAAATTTGTAAGTTACTGAACTGTATACATGTAAGCTCTCAAAAAATGTGCTGAACCAACTACAAAATTAAGGTAGTTAAAATAATATATATACAAATAATAAACGGCTCATATGCCTAAATTCAAATAAATAATGAGAATTAGACCCTGTGGCCCTAAAACTTAGACCCTAAAAATTAAAAGTATGATATTGTAGTCATTATAAATCAAGAGAGAGGGAAAAATTTACTTAATAAATGATGTTGGGAAAATGAGATGAAAATGTGAAAAAGAGCTGGGCACAGTGCCTCATACCTGTAATCCCAACACTTTGGGAGGCCAAGGTGGGAAGATCACTTGAACCCAGAAGTTTAAGACCACCCTGGGCAACATAATGAAACCCTGTCTCTATAAAAAATAGAAAAATTTAGATGGGCATGGTGGTGTGCGCCTGTAGTCCCAGCTACTTGGTAGGCTGGGGCGGGGGATCTATTGAGCCCTGGAGGTCAAGGCTGCAGTGAGCCATGATTGTGCCGCTGCACTCCAGCCTGGGTGACAGAATAAGACCCTGTCTCAAAAAATAAAACAAAATAAAAATGTGAAAAACAAACTAATAGAGAATTCCCTCTTTTGCCATAACTATAATAATCTCCAGATGGATCAAAAAGTTGAGTAGTTACAGCTTGTAGCATAGAAAAACTCTAAGTGGGTGGAAGGGGAAGGTGCTGGGTGAGGGAGTGCTGATTCTGTCTGTCCCTTCTCTTCCTCTGCTGCAGGCAGAGCCTGGTCACAGACTATGTCTTACTGCACGTGCTTGTGAAGTAGCACCTGCCCCTGGAGTACCAGCTGCTGCTCATTCCTTGTGCATTCAGTGGAAACTGTCTTCCCTGCCCAATAGCCAGGCCTCAGCACTTGCCCTGTCCCTACCTGCAGCCCTTTGCCCCCACACACTCCTCCAGGTCTCCTCCTGACCCCCAGCATCAATTAAGTGTGACAAACAGAAAAAAGAAAAAGAAAAACTATAAAACCTCTAGAAGAAGAAGGAATTCCTAAGCTCAAAAGCAATGAAGAAACAAGATCAATAGCCTTACTGCATAAAAATTGGAAATCTCTCCAAATCAAAAAAAAAATTAAAAGGCATGAACTGAGAAAAAATTAGCTTTTGCAGTAAATGATTAATCTTTTTACAACTTACAGGTTCACATATACAATACGATGAACCTGACAGCCTTATAACAAATAAACAATCCACAAAAGAAACTGCAACTGACAAACCAACATTGGGAAATGTCCTAACAGAAATTAAAGAAATGCAAATAAAACTACAGTAAAAAAGTGCCATGTTTTTTCATGAAATTAGCAAGTGTTTTGTTGAATAATAGTCCATACTGGCAACAATGTTGTGAACCTGATCTTTTTATATACCCCTGTTGAAAATATAAATTGGCATAAACATTTTGAAAGTAATTTAAAATATTTATCAAAGGCCTATCATTCATTCATAACCTTTTACTCAGTAATTCCATTTTGAGAAATTTGTCTCAGAGAAATAAATATAGGAAATGCCTTATGTGCAACGATATTCATTAGAGTATTTATAACAACAAAAATTTGAAGAAAAATCTTAAATACCCAATAATAATGAAAAAGCTAAGTAAATTATGGTTATACTAACTGAATGGAATAATAAGTAGGTATTTCAAATGATGAATGAAACAGTTAAACATGTTATCTATGGGAAGTAAAATTATAAAAAATTTTCATTTGGTACTTAATGCATTTCTAAATGTTTGAATTTGTTATATCTTTCCTGTTATAACAAGAAAAAGGATATAAAGATATTTCCATTTTGAAAATATAGTTGAAATAATAGTTACAAAGATTGTAATAAATAAAAGATGTGCTTGCTATCCTTTCATAAAAAAAATATCTGGAATGAAACTCCTCTAAACTCTAATAGTGTAAGTGTATATTGATGAGAATGTAGATTTTTTGTGTGTTTTCCAAATTATCTTTATTGAATTCAGCAAACATTTATTGAGATCCTAAGCAAAAGGCACTGACTACAACAAAGATGTATAAGGTACTGCATGTTGCTTATTAATGTGCATGAATTATTCTTATAATATTCTGAACAGTCATGTTCTCCCTGCAAAAGAACTCTTAGGAAAAACTGTATGATCACAAACAATCTGCTAAGAGTTTATTATTATATAAGCATTGCGGTATAAAATTGTAATATCCATTTTCAAACGTGTGAGAAAATACTACTAAGATTTAATAATTTTAATTTACAGTAACAACTTCCAAACATCCACTCAATCAAATCTGAAAAAAGAGAGACAGAAATTTATTTCTATTTCTTCAGATCCCTGAGATTTAAACACCTACCTTGATCGCAGAAATTGAAAGCGAAAATTTTTCAGTGCTGGGTACATATAGTAAATATTTTCTACCAGCCTCAAAAGTGAATTTGAACTGAACATGTCCAGGAATTTTAATAAAATATTGACCAGTTTAGCATCTGACCAGCTGAAAGGCAATTTCTTCTGTTATCTTTCCTAACATTCATTCATCTGTTAAATTAAATGAGCTAGAGCATATAAAGCACTTAAAAGAGTGTCCAGCATATTGTAAGCACTCGGCAAAAGTTAAATATTACTTTTAACAATTTAACAAATATTTCTAAGCAACCACTATGCACCAGACATGATGCTTTTAATAAAGCACAGTTATGTGGCTGAAAAGCAGCTCTGAAGAATGGGAAATCCTCTTTTCCCTTCAACATGTTCCTGGGCCCACATCAGATCTCCACAATCAATAACAAAATGTCACCAACAAATGTAGGCAGAATGTCCACACCATTGAAGAGGAAAGAGAAATATGTCTTTCCTTTGCATCTTCTGAAAAGGAGTGGGTCCTTGGTGTGATTGTTACCTGTCCACACTTGGAGCAATCAAAGAGTAGCCAGGAAACAAATATGTAAAAGCCAATGTGGTAACAGAGAAGGATGGTGAAGTCTCTGGAAATAATAGGGGGGGTTCATTGGCTGAATCTGAGGGGGCAATGATGACAGACTTGGTATTGTGTCTGCACAGACCATCCCCAACTTCAAGTTCTTTCTCGACCTCTCCTTACTGACTGCCTCCTAGGCAGGACTGCCTCCTTACTGACACATGCTAACTCATGGCTGAGTGACAGCTCAGAGGAGGAACAAGCCATTCTCTAAGACTCATAGAAGAAAAGGAGTATAAAGAAATCATTTGCAAAGGCTACCGGGATTGAACAAAAGATAGCTTTGCTAAAGAAAACCACATCAAATGTCACTGAAGAGTAACCACAAATCTTAGTTAGAATCTATTTTCTAAGAGGAAGCAGATCCAAAGTTGCACATCTTAATAACCAATATTCATAAATAGCTACCACCCTGCTTCCCTCCCTGCCCCACAAAAAAAAACACCCCTTAATAAGGTAAACACAAAAGTGCTTAACTGATAAATAAGAAAAACAAACATTCTGATTGGCACCACAGGAGGTGAATTTGTGTTTTGACAGTAATAGAATCCAAAACTCTAAACAGTACTGTTAAAAACGCTTAAACAATTTTGTCAATTTCATGCTTCCCCTGCTTCATTACCACATTGCAAGTTGATTAGAGGAATACTACATATGTTTTTATTATAACACCAATAAATTTCTAGGTATTTAATTGCAGCTTAACATCCATCTCTCCAATGAAGGCTGAGGGAGGAGAGGGTGAGCAGCAATGAGGTAATTCCCTCAGCAGCTTGGAAAGTGAGGGAAGCTCGAAGCACGCTAGAGGTGTTTCTCAGCCTCCTTCAGATATAACAGTGAACAGTGTCTTTCCCAGAAAAGGGAATGATCCTCTCTGATTCCTCAGGCAGGTTTCTGAAGTAACAGCCTTGCAGTTTCTCAAGCTAATATTATAAATAAAACATTAATCATTATTAACCCTGCCTGAAAAAAAAGAATGCTGTGCTAAGAAACAATCCACATTTTCCTGGGCCAAATTCAGAATTGTTTACTCTTAAAGAAAACTCTTTGTTCCTTTTACTGAGGTTTTCTGACTCAAGTAAAATCCTCAAAGAATCTTCAAAATTGAAAAATGCCTTGACTGTCAAGAACACCATAGTCAAATACTTGAGTAAAATGAAAACTTGTCTTAAGCTGCCAGACAAGCAGTGTCTTATATTATGTAGCCTGTAATGTAAAATGATGATGTTTAACAACTTGTTTAACTAAAGATTATTTCAATACACAAGACCCAATGCTCTGCCAATTCCTATCCAAACCCAGGAATTCACTCTTAGGTTAAAAAAATATATATATCTATCTATATATATATATACACACACACACGCACACACACACACATATACACACGCACATACATGTATATACACACACACATACATATATATATATATATATATATATACACATACGCACACACACATACATGCATATATACATATATATCTCCTTTAGGAGACACTCAAATCACCCGCTTGGCTTTCTGGTCTTCCAGTAAGTGAAATCCTGATAATCATGAAGAAACAACAATGACCACTAGGCACTTGTGCCTAATTTACCTAACAATTTAAACCTTGGCACTGACAAGTTCTATCTATTATTGATTTTAAAATTCCTCATTATTATAGCCCCTCCAGGTGACATTATTCTTTGCACAGCAAAAGTCATTCAGCGGTGTCAGAAAGGGTTGACAGGTCTGAAATTACACTGCACATTTGCTCCTTAAGAGTATGCAGTGGTCATGCATTTCTTGTTAGGAATGTAAAAACATAAGCATGCATAAAGAGGTTAGACAAAATGAGTTCATTTATTAGTCAGCTTCACCAGCCCTCCAAAGAGGCAAAATAACTTAAACTCACACAACACCTTTCATGCATTATCTTCAGAGCAGCAGAATTCAAATCTCATACACTACAGCAGGAAAAGTTTCACTAATTTCAATTACTATTATTTTAACCTCTTCTGAATGGATGACTCAGAAAAAACAAAGACTAAAGTGATAAATTAGACAGAAAAACATAGCCACAAACAAAATATCTTCAACTTTCTAGTTCAGCAAATAAGATTATAATTTATACTAGTATCATGTTTTATAGTTTACTAATAACACTTAAATATATTACTGTATATTTGATTCTCACAACAGCCTACTTAAGATAATATTAGGTCATCCTATAAAAATTATGGAATATTATACAGTGAGGCAAAAGAATAATGTAGAACTAATGGGATGGAAATATATCCATAACATGTTGAATGTAAAATGCTGGCTTCAAAACAGAATGGATTTCTTGGTCCTATTTTTATAAAAAGATGTATGTAAATATCTATATACAGATATATATACACATCCATATACATACATACTTGCATATGCATATATAAAGAGAGATAATGGCTAAAAAGAAATCAACCAATTGTGGTCTCTGTGTTATAATTACTATCTTTCCTCTAGTTTATTTTATCTTTTGATATTTCTGCAATGAATATGTATTACATGTATGATCAGGAAAAGATAATCATATGATGAGGTCATCTTATTTTTCTCAATAAGAATTTTTTTTAGTGAACTTCAATAACTACAGCTTAATACCATGGAGAAATGGGACCTTTGAACTGCTTTTAAAACAAGCATTTCTGGAAATATCAGAGTTCACTGAACCTTACAATCATCCATAGTCTTAAGGTCTGCTAGTTAGGATAATCATCACAAAATATACATTGAGTGATGTCTTAGCATGAATCCTTCAGGAAGCAGAATTTGAGGTAAGAATTAAAGTGCTAAATTTTTATTAGGAAGTTGCAAGCCCAAAAAGGCTTCAGTGAGAGGAAAGGGAAGGGACGAAAGGAAAGATGTGAAGCAATGCATTGCTGCGTCACCTAGGAAGGTGGAACCAGCCACCAGCCAGTTCACAACAATCTGCAGAGACACAACAGCTCACTCAACAGGAGTTCACTTGGTACAGGGACTTCTCTGTAATTGGCTACAAGAAGAAACCATCCTGGAGCAGTACAGTAAAGGAAAAAAAGAGGAAGGCTTATTTACCCAGTTCTCTATTGTCTCCAGTGTCTGTTAATCAAGTTCCATTTGGAACTGACCATCTCACCCCTCAGAACCTTCTCAGGAGGCTAGATCCCATGCCTTGAGCAGTATTGTAGCCAAATATGAGAGTAAAGAAGCAATTCCATGCAGGTGGGGCCCAGCATTTGCATTGTGAGTGCTAAACAGAGCCAGAGCTTCAACTCAGATTCCAAAAAGCAAAGGAACCACCAAAGGTGGCAGCACTGAAATGAAGGTGACTCCTTCAAGAGAAGGAGAGTCTTCTCAATGAACTTGAGAAAGGGTTAAAGGTTTATTGAGAAAGGCTTAAAGGCTTATGTCTAATATAAATGTCTTGCTAGTTCTTAGAAATAGTTGGTCATTTTGTTACTTTTTAGTTAATGCTGAAATGAGTTAAGACTTTGGCAAACTGTTGGGAAGGCGTGATTGTATTTTGAACTAAGGCAGAGGTTAAAAAAGTTTGGAGGGCTCAGAAGAAGACAGAAAGATGTGGGAAAGTTTGGAACTTCCTAGGGACTTGTTGAATGGTTTTGACCAAAATGCTTATAATGATGTGGACAATGAAGTCCAGGCTGAAGTGGTCTCAGATGTATATGAGGAACTTCTTGGGAACTGGAGAAAAAGTCACTCTTGCTATGCTTTAGCAGAGACTGACAGAATTTTGCCTCTGCCCTGAAGATCTGTGGACCTTTGAACTTGAGAAAAATTATCTGAAATTGGAACTTATGTTTAAAAAGGAAGTCAAGCATAAAAGTTTGAAAAAATTTGCAGCCTGACAACGTGATAGAAAAGAAAAACCCGGTCTCAGGTATTTCTTTATAGCAGTGTGAGAACAGATTAATACACTCCTGCTCCAACTAACACATCCCTGGGGACAGGGTGGTAAGAAAAAAGTAGCAACATCTATATCAGGAAAGCAAAGACTTCCTCCAAAACCCTCAGCAGACCTCTGTTCACTTTTTATTGGCAAAATAGTGTCAGAAGGCCACACCTCTGTAAAGGTAAATTGAGAAAATTAGCATTCCAAGCTCCATAGCAAAGGAAGTAGATGTTGGAAGACTGCTGAACGTACCAATCTAGATAATATCCTTCAAATACCTGTTCCTGACCAATGAATTCCTATGGTCAGCCAGACCTGGGTCTTAATTTTTCATCTCAGTGTCAGGGGACAGCAGTGTTCTGTGATCAACTCAAGGACCACATGAAATAGAACTGCCACTCCCAAAAAGACTAATCTTACCAAAGAAAGGTATAGAAAAGCACCCTGGAGAGAAATCATTAGCATTACCACAATGATTACAAAGATCAATAAAATACACACACATATGCACACAAACACAGACACACACACACACCCAAGCTGCAAAAAGTTGACAATTCTTTAAAAATCACACCATTAATTGTGTTTCTCTTGTAGGGTAGAGGTACAGAGAACAGGATCACTTTCATTTCTTTATGCAGCTCCCAAAAATGGTTGAAAAGTTACAGGTGGTTTTTTTCTTTTCTTCGGCTTTTTTTTTCAGTATCTTTTAACTAACAAAGAAAATTTTAAATTATTGGTAGTAATGTGATAACAAACCAAATTTTGTTAAAGGAAGAGATAGGATTAATCCAGATCTTTTAAAAAATGATGATTCTACAAATTATCATCATGAGGCAATATTTATTAGGAAGGGTATCAAAGAGAACAAAAACTGGATAAAGAAAGAATCATGAATAATGAAAACTAATCTCTCCCATTTAGTTTTCCCTACATCTGTCTGGATGAAATTACACCTACTAAATATTGACTTTGCTTCTAAGGCATGTGACATATTTTATTTGACATAGATCACTGCATTTAACCTTCAGGTAAGGATGGAGCCAGCACATCTCACTCAGTGACACAGAAGAAAGTGATGCATAAAGAGGTGAAGTGATGAATCTGGGCTCAATTTTCACATAGTAATTGCCTTATAGATCCCTCTGCCACCTACTGGGAGGCCTGGGCAACTGAGTTTGCTGTGGCTGCTTTGCAACCAGTTTATATTCCTACCCAAAGAGAAAGGGTCCTTCACCTAGGGCATTGTGAACCTGGATGAGGAAAAGATTATCTTTTTTTCACAAACCCCGAACTTAAGTTTCTTTCCATCATGATGCAGGGCACAAGCCACAGTACTTTTAGCAGCGCCTATGAATTTGTCACCCATCAAAAGCCCAAAGATTTCCATGTCACATCACATTGTTGTTGGTTCCTCACCACATCATTTACAAACATCTCTACTTCAAAATCACAGCAGCTATTAGACCTACTGTAATATCACCAGATTTCAATAAAATTGGTTTTCTTTGTAATCCTATATATTTCATTTGATGCATCCAAAAACATTCTTCTGACTTCCAAAGGAATCCATGGCACCAAAAAAGGAAACAAATATCAAAATCCTCTACATAGAGGTATCTCAAGCACTGGGGCATCTGTAGAAGCCTCTGAAGACCTTCCTAACAGCTTCCTTAGGTCTCAGGGGAAAAAAAAAAACACTTTTGTTTCAGGCCTGCCCTGGTGTGTGACCACAAAACATCAGACCTATGGCTTGGGGTACAGGTTTGTCCTGTGTTATAAACACAATGAATCAAGTCTCAAATCTTCATTTGGTGCTTTTCTTCTTCCAGAGGGTCTCTCAAGAGAACCCTCTACTCCCACTGCTCTCAGGGAGCATCACACATTGACTGGGTCACACACAAAGCAACTGCCATTTCTCCAATGTAATCACAGACACTGCAGCAGTACAATAGCTCACACTCAACATTCCAAGACACAATCAATAAAACTAGAAGCCATGTGAAAAGGTTAAAACCTATCAGTATTTCCTCTTTACCTGTTGAAATACGCCCTTCCTAGAGAGAAAATTACAGGTATTTCCTTTTTCTCCCCAGAGATAAGGGCTCTGTCACCCAGGCTGGAGTGCAGTAGCACCATCATAGCTCACGGCAGCCTCGACCTCCTGGGCTCAGGCCATCCTCCCGCCTCAGCCTTTCAAGTAGCTGAGACCACAGGCATGCACAATATGCCCGATTAATTTTTTTAAGTCTTTGTAGATGCAGGGTCTGGCTGTGTTGCGCAGGCTGATCTTGAACTCCTGGCCTCAAGCAATCCTCCTACCTTGGCCTCCCAAGGGTATTTCTTCTACTACACAAATTAGCTGTCACTTTTGGTGTTTTCCTATGGGTTTTGAAGTCAAACAGAACTGGTTTTGAATACCAGCTCTTCTACTATCTACTATGAATGACCTCAAGCAGATATCCTTCCTGAGCTTTGGATTTTTTCATCTGCACAACCTTCAACGGTTTACACATTCATTCATTCATGCATGCATTAGCCAGTAAACACTTTTTCACTATGTGCTATAAGCTGTCTCTATGAAGGTCCTTAACAGATAATACAGAACAGAAGGAACTCAAATAAACCAATATCACACTGTGTGAACCTGTGTGAACTCTCAAAACCTGAACCTTGAACTCTCAAGACAAAAATCCACAAATCATTCAGAAATAGTGGGCTCATTTCATTTTGTCTCAGAAGTTGGTATATGACAAAACAGGGTTTCACAGCAGCACAGAGCAGATAGGGAGGAAGGGGATTAAAGATTCAGCAGATAGGCCAGGCACAGTGGCTCACGCCTGTAATCCCAGCACTTTGGGAGGCTGAGGCGTGCGGATCATCTGAGGTCAGGAGTTCGAGACCAGCCTGACCAATATGATGAAACCCCATTTCTACTAAAAATACAAAAATAAGCCAGGCATGGTGGCTGGCGCCTGTAACCCCAGCTACTCAGGAGGCTGAGGCAGGAGAATCGCTTGAACCCAGGAGGCAGAGGTTGCAGTGAGCTGAGATCACACCACTGCACTCCAGCCTGGGCGACAGAGAGAGACTCTGTCTCAAAAAAAAAAAAAAAATCAGCATATAGGCCTCAGAAGCAGGTTAGGACAGCCACTCGAAGAGAGACCTAGCCAACATAGGGACATGGGCTAGGTACAATAAAAACAATGTCAGTTATTGAAACAAAGGTCCACCAAGGAAGTCTAAGAGAAGAGTGGAGGAGGGCTCTCAGCACGTGGGTAAAAATAGCAGCTACAAATGCAAGGGAAAGAAAAGAGTGACATTACAACATTTGCCCAGGATAAAAGCAGAGCCTTCGTGACCTAGCTCAGAAGCCAAGGCAGGGTACTGGCTCTTGGGAAAAGGCTTGGCAAGAACAAGGCAAGTTAAGAGGTACCAGAGCTGACAACCAGAGCAGGTAGGTGATGCACCCAGGAGTAGACAGGATGAGGCACAGGGAGTAGAACTGGAGCCCAGTAGTTACTGGAGCATGAAACCTGGGCTTAGAGTCAGCCAGTCTAACAGAAGCCCAGAGGTGGATCCAAATCCCAGGTTTAGGAAAACGACTCATGCTAAGCAGAAAGTAAGGAACCCAAGACTACAATGTCCTGCCTCCATGATAACTGGCTTTGAACCTGGGTCAGGATGAGCTTGGTAGGTAAGAGGCTTCCGTGGTACCAGCCATGAAGCACCAGAAATGGCAAAGCAGAAGTGATGATGGGAAGGGGTTGAGCCAACCAGTGGTTCAACTTTAAAATGTGGTCAAGAAAAGATGCACATGAGGCTCCCTGATTTTCCTAGTCCACTTACTCCCAATCAAGGTCCTTCCTATGTTGGAAATATCTAAGCACCCAAAGGTCTACTGTGTCAGGATTTGCCAAGAAAACGCATTAGCCTGATTACAGCGTGAAAGCTTTTAGAGAAGCTCTGTGTTAGCGACTAATAGATGTTGCCAAAGAATACCCTGTGAAAAATATTAACATATCAGAGATGAATCCATTTCAAAAAGCAATTTCTCCTCAAAATTAGCACACAAAAATAATGAGAAGTAAAATAATTTATGTCTAGTGATATGGTTTGGCTGTGTCCCCACCCAAATCTCATCTTGAATTGTAGCACCCACAGTTCCCACGTGTTGTGGGAGGGAACCGGTGGGAGATAACTGAATCATGGGGGCAGTTTCCCCCACATTATTCTTGGGATAGTGAATAAGTCTCATGAGATCTGATGGTTTTATAAGGGGCTTCCTCTTTCACGTGGCTCTCTTTCTCTCTTTGCCTGCTGCCATGTAAGATGTGCCTTTCACCTTCCACCATGACTGTAAGGCTTCCCCACCCACGTGGAACTGTGAGTCCATTAAACCTCTTTCTAGTTACCCAGTCTTGGATATGTCTTTATTAGCAGCATGAGAACAGACTAATACATCTAAACTTAAACAATTTGGGTAAAACGTTCGCAAACCTGAATCACGAGTTTGTACTTTAAAAACTCAGCCTACCAGCTGGGCACAGTGGCTCATGCCTGTAATCCCAGCATTTTGGGAGGCCAAGGCGGGCCGATCACCTGAGGTCAGGAATTCGAGACCAGCCCGGCCAACATGGTGAAATCCCGTCTCTGCCAAAAGTATGAAAAATTAGCCAAGCGTGGTGGTGCAGGCCTATAATTCCCACTACTTGGGAGGCTGAGGCAGGAGAATCGCTTGAACCTGGGAGGTGGAAGTTGCAGTAAGCCAAGATCATGCCATTGCACTCCACCTGGGCAACAAGTGTGAAATTCTGTCTTTAAAAAAAAAAAAAAAAAAACTCACTCAGCCTACAATCCTTCCCAAGGCCAACCAACATCCTCTGTTATGACAACCCAACCTTATACATCATGCCAAGCAATTTCTTAATATTTTTATTGTGATCTTTTTATATGACAGGCCAAAGTTGAAGATGTCTTTTAAAGTTGGGTGGCCTTCATTTCAAAGAAGGAAACGTTGAAGTTTCAAACACATGCATTACTTTATCACAAGGAAATTACCAACTTTAAAATGGTATGTCACTGCACTACAAAAAGAGTGGAAGGTAGTATGCAGAAATGAACATATTTGTATAAGGCTTCTGAGATTACGGTAATTTTAAATTTTTTCAAAAATGTTTTTCTAATTTTTCTTTAATGCTGTTATATTGTCTTTCCAAGAACATATATATGTGTATATATATGTATATATAGATATATACATATATATGTGTGTGTATATATGTATATATAGATATATACATATATGTGTGTGTATATATGTATATATAGATATATACATATATGTGTGTGTATATATGTATATATAGATATATACATATGTGTGTGTATATATGTATATATAGATATATACATATGTGTGTATATATGTATATATAGATATATACATATGTGTGTGTATATATGTATATATAGATATATACATATGTGTGTGTATATATGTATATATATACATATATGTGTGTATATATGTATATATATACATATATGTGTGTGTATATATGTATATATAAATACATACATATATATGTGTGTGTATATATGTATATATAGATATAAACATATATATGTGTGTGTATATATGTATACATAGATATATACATATATATATATTCAAACACCCTACTTTCCTTGACTTAGTGTGAATTAGAAAATTGACCTGATCTAGCCTATGATGAACTATACCATGTGATACCAACACCATAACTTAATTTCAAGTTACTTGGCCACCTTTGCTGTTTATTTTAGGCTCTTGTTATTTATTCACCACTAAGGAGTTCCTTGGACTTTGTTGTATAAATGCTCCCCTAAAGTATTTTAAAATAAAAAAATTTTTTAGAGCAAAATTCCCTGGAAATTGTATAACATCCCCATACACACACTTCTTATGACACTAATACTAGAAGTCACTGAAGGTGCTATGAGGGATCCCTCTGGGACTGCAGAGGGGGCCTTCACCTGACCATCACATCTGAGAGTCTAATAGCAGTACTATTATTTTCCTTTAAAGGAAAAATTTACCTTATGTTCAGAGAAATATAAACTTCTGTTTGATTAATACAGCAGTCCCCAGAGCTTTCTCCTTCTAGCGTGAAGTTTAGGCTGCTGGCCAAACATGTAAGCTTAAATTCTAGAACCCCACATAAAAATGTCTATTTGTTCTTTCAAAAATGAAAATCTTTCCAATCAAAAACTGATTTGGGCAGTATCTGCACTTGTAATTGGCAAATAGTAAAATGACTACAGTAAAAGTTGCTTTCTAATTTGTAATATATAACCAAGGATATTAAGCAAGCATGTCTGTTATATGTTAAATTGTCTCTCCCAAAAAGATATGTTGAAGTCCTTACCCCTGCTACCTGTGAATGTGACCTTATTTGGAAACAGGGTCTTTGCAGATGTATTCAAGTTAAAGATGAGGTCATTAGTGTGAGCCCTAACCCAGTAGTCCCTAACCCACTGCTGTCCTTCTAAAAAGAGGAAATACCATATGAAGAGAGACACACAGGAAGCTTGCCACGTGACGACAGAGGCAGAGATTAAAGTGCTGTAGCTAGCTGCAAATCAAGGAACAGAAAGGATTATTTGCAAGCCACCAGAAGCCAGGAAGATGCAAGTAAGGCTTCCCCTCCACGTTTCTGAGGGAGCAGGACACCGCTGGCATCTTGGTTTCAGACTGCTAGCTTCCAGAACTATGATACAATAAATTCCGTTATTTTTGAGCCGCCCAGTTTGTGCTACTTTCTTTCAGCAGCCTTTGGAAACTAATACAATATTTCTACTTCATGCCATTTTTCTAATCTATATGAGATTCTTGGTCCACTTTTCCTTGAAAGTATCTTGTTCATTCAACTATACTACAGTTGGAGTGCTAAAGAAAGAACCTCATATAATACATGCAATGAATGGGTTTAGTATTTAATATGTATAACAAATGGTCTCTGTTGCATTAAACAGGGATGCATCATTAAATTTTAATTTCACATAAAGAATGAACAATTTTATAGTACAAGTATGCCCCAAATCATGCATAGGGCAGACTTATATTAAAAATTATTCATTGTTTATCTGAAATTCAAATTTAACTGAGTGTCCCACATTTTATTTGTTAAATCTGGCAGCCCTATATACTACTTCATGGATGGAAAGCCTGTTTCTGGAACATTGACTTACTTGCAATTTGTTTCCAGTCCTTGAGCCAACAAGACAAGCTACCACATTTTGAGTGCTACACAGCCTATTTTCCCTCTTCAGGTTCAAGTTCCTCCAGTTTAATTTGTGGACACTGTTAAAAATTATAGATGGATGATGATTGCTACAGCGAGTTTGCTTTGGGTAAGCACCATGACATCCATATAGCTTTTATAAAATGCTACACAATCAATAAAAAGAAATTAGAACCATCAATTCTAAGTGTAAAGATGTAATCAGCTTGCAGGGGCATTTTCAATTCCTTATTTCAATATTGTGACCAGCATTAGACTATAAAATGAGCACGAAAGGAATTTTTAAGCTTTTAACCATCACTAAATTAATTATTTTTTACAAAAATATAATAGATCCCTCCATGGATAATGCTGTTATTATGAGACTTTGTAATCTGCTACTTCAATCTGATTTCTTATTCTCCCCAGACCACTGCTCCTTCATCTGTAAAATGAGGGAGAGAGAAGACACAATTCAGGGCCCCTGTCAGGATTCTGGAGTTTGCCGCAGGCTTAGTCTGCCTTCTTCTCTGTCTATTCCCTTTTGTCTTCCCTCAGAGGTGACCCCACCTCCCAGCGAAGTTCCTCTTCCCTAGGGTGGGAGAAGGCCTTTTCAAGCATAGCAGAAACCACAGAAGAAACTTATTAAATTTGACTGTGCACATCAAAAGACTCCATGAATAAAATTAGAAGGCAAATGACAAACTGGAAAAAATATCTGCATTGTAAAATATAGAAAATTTTTAACATGCCAAAACAACTTGGACAAAGGACATAATTTACATACATATGCACACACACACGCACACACACACACAGAAACAATAAACATGAAAATATGTTTCATCTATTGGTAATTAAAAAAACATGAGTTAAAGAAAGGACCATTTGCCTATCAAATTGACAAAATTCTTTTAAGAAAACAACTCAATGTTAGAAAAGTGTACTTTTATATACTGCTGCTGTGTAAGGTGATACAATCATTTTAGAAACCAATTTAGCAATTCATATAAAAGGTCTTAAAATATACAAATGTTTTGATTCATCAATTACACTTCCAGGAATTATGTTCGAAGATTCAACTAAGACCTCATTCTCTATATCATTGGCAACAGAAATAATTTGGAAACAACCTGAATTCATGTTTGATTCAACGAATTATAATACAACCATATGGTGGAATACTATGCAGCTATTAAAAACTATGTGATACAATGAGACAAAGTCTAACACCAGTCAGAGTGGCTATAATTAAAAAGAAAACCTAACAGACGCTGATGAGGTTGTGGGGAAAAAGGAATGCTTATACACTGTTGGTGGCAGTGTAAATTAGTTCAGCCATTGTGGAAGGCAGTGTGGCAATTCCTCACAGACCTAAAGACAGAAATACCATTCCACCCAGCAATCCCATTACTGGGTATATGCCCAAAGGAATATAAATCATTCTATTTTAAAGATACATGCATGCGTAGGTTCACTGCAGCACTATTACAATAGCAAAGACATGGAATCAACCTAAATGTCCACCAGTGACAGACTGGATAAAGAAAATGTGGTATATATACACCATGAAATACTACACAGCCATAAAAAATAATGAGATCATGTCCTTTGCAGGGACACAGATGGAGCTGGAGGCCATTATCCTTAGAAAACTAACACAGGAGCAGAAAACTAAATATTGCATATTCTCACTTATAAGTGAGAGCTAAATGATGAGAACACATGGACACAGAGGGGAACAACACACAGGGGGTCCTTTCAGAGGGTGAAGGGTGAGAGAAGGGAGAGGATCAGGCAAAATAACTAATGGGTACTAGGTTTAATACCTGGGTGATGACATAATCTGTATAACAAACCCCCGTGACACAACTTTAACAGAAACCACAAACATGCACTTGTACCCTTGAACTTAAACAGTTTTTTAGAAAGCATGTGATAAAAGAGTACTTAATGACACAAAATATTTTCATAGTATATTAGAACATTTCAAAGCAGCTCACCAACAGTATGATCCCATTGTTCTAAAAGAAAATATGTATACATAACACATATCTCTAGATAAAAGAATAGAGGAATATACAAAATAATCATGATAAAAGTTAAGTATTTCTAGGCAGTGGGATTATGAGCTTTTTCCCCCTACTTTCCAAGTTTTCCACAATAAGCTGTACTACTTTTTCTGTTAAGAAAAATAAATAACAAATACTGTATTTCCTAATTCATTTATCTTGTCTTAAAACCTGCCCTTCGTTGGGCTGCAGTTGGTTAATCTAATAAACCATGCCTGTTAATATAGTGGTTTGTAAAATAATGCTTTAACCTAGTGAACTACTTTCTAATGCTTCTTTGCAAAAAGCAGAAATCCCAGTTCGAACTAGATTAAGCCAAAAGAGGAATTATAAAAAGTAAGGTCACATAAGAATATTGAAGATCTTACAATAAATAATGTGACTGGGGTCACAGGGAATGAAAGTTTCCAAAAGAAGAGCAAGTTCCAGAAAAGAGAAGGCTTGCTAGGAAAAATATAAGAGAGACCCACCGCACCAGTTAAAGCACAGGTTTCATTAGCAGGGCACTGAATAGTTTCTCCGGTGAACTTCTAGTCTTAGACTGGTTCCCAAATAGACTCTGAGGTGGAAAGTTCAGTGTTTTCAGGAGCACTCTACTCTCCACCTCATCTGTAAGGAGGTGAGCAAGCTGCTTCACCTGCAAGGAGGTAAATAAGCTGCTTCACCTGTAAGGAGTTAAATAAGCTGCTTCACCTGTGAGGAGGTACATAAGCTGCTTCACCTGTAAAGAGTTGAATAAGGCAGGAGGGGGCAGAAAGAGAAGCTGATAGCAAAGCAGTTGCAGCTGAGATGCCAGCCCATCTACAGGAAGCTCTAGGTTGGGATGGCCCTGCAGAAGTTGCTCCAAATTGAAGCAAGCAGGTAGATGTTTGTACAGCCACATTAGCCAAGAGGAGGCATAAGCTTGGGTGAGGCAGTTACCTGCAGCCGAGGCAAATCACAGTGAAGGACACAGCTGTGAGCCTGGGTGTCCCATCCTCTTAGCAGTCACGGAAGTGCCAGCCCTGAAGAGGGAAATGGGTTGGGGCACCACAGTGTGTCAATATAGTATAGCAGAAGTGATCTCACTCCCACCTCCCTTCCAAAAGCATAGTAATGAGAAACTTAAAATATTTCAAAGGTATAGCAGTGCTCAAAAATAAAATAAGTTTATCTGTGACCCAGAAAAAATCTAGAGACAAGCAACAGCGGAAAACAAAGACCTACCTATTGGCTTGGGGATCAAAAACAGGCAATGCAGCCGGGCGCGGTGGCTCACACCTGTAATCCCAGCATTTTGGGAGGCCGAGGCGGGCGGATCAGGAGATTGAGACCATCCTGGCTGACACGGTGAAACCCCGTCTCTACTAAAAATATAAAAAATTAGCCAGGCGTGGTGGTGGGCGCCTGTGGTCCCAGCTACTCGGGAGGCTGAGGCAGGAGAATGACGTGAACCCGGGAGGTGGAGGTTGCAGTGAGCTGAGATCATGCCACTGCACTCCAGCCTGGGTGACAGAGCAAAACTCTGTCTCAAAAAAAAAAAAAAAAAAAAAAGCAGGCAATGCCGTGGGGCTAGGGCTAGGGAGGAGTATATGTGGAACCAGGAGATGGTGGCTCCTAGTACCGCCATGCCCACTGGTAAAATGTGAATAGAAGACTTAGCCACTTGATGCATTCAGGACAACTAAAGGCTCACATGTAATAGAAATGGGAGTTTGGGTCTCCCACCAGGTAAAAAAATCACAACCTGCTGGCTGAGAGCAAAGGAAACAGCATAAATGGTAGAAAAAAAGAGTTATGAATATCAACTATTCTTCCAGCCAGTTGCATAAATGAGGACTGTAGCAGCTATACGTTATATATTTTCTTCCTTACTTCTTAATCCATACATTTTTCCATCCACTTTTTCCCCATTTTATATAAAGTATGTTGATGTGATTAACTTTACAATATAGTCCTTGAAATGTAGGATATCTAGCTGCGATTCTAACCAAATTAAAATAGGTATGATCATCACTCAGAACCAATGATGAGAGTGCATCCTGAAGAAGGAGGATGATGAATGCAGTTCTGCAAGCTGGATCTAAAGGGGCTGGGGGGAAAGCCAACATCCCGCAGAGGTAGAGGCATTGACTGCTAGGATGCTAGGTTTGCCTGTGCTAGGGAGAAAATGTGTTTCCATTGGACCGAGTCAACTGCGAAACCTTAGGCAGGGACATGTTATTGTTGTGGAAAATGTAAATATGGGTAGAAGTATGTAAATAAATGCTTACCACCTAACATTCCATCCGCCAGATAAATCACAATTTACAATGTGAAACTGTACAATATGGTCCCCACCTTTTTAGGTTGGCATTTAAGTTCTTTCCAGTTCTTGCCATTACAAATTATGTAGTGACAACACTTTCCATGTTTTGTCATTTTTTAATAGATTTATAGAATTGAGATCCGAGGACTAGTTTTTAATCTTCTCAGCCTTCCTCTCTGCAGATGAGTTCCTTTTTTCCTTCTGGCAGAGTGGCCAATGAAAATCCCCAGGGTCAGGAAACCATCTGATAATGGCACTTCAGTGCCTCAGTCTCAACACTTGTTCATTGGAGACTTCCCCGACTCTCCATGCTAAAATCTTCATGCTCAAAAGAGGGAAGGAGAGAAGGAAGGAGCTTCTGCCCACAGGGGCTGTTACTCTTAATCACTCATTCAACAAACTTTTATGGGAAACTATTGAACATCGTGCTAACAGTGTTTCTTCTACCACAAAATAAAATATTGCTTTCTCCTAGAAAGTATACAAGATTTCATGATATACCTTTTGTGTATTAACATCAGTCCTCACTCCATATTCCTTTTTTTTTTTTTTTTTTGCCTCTTTTTCACCTATTTCAACTTTCTTTAACCATACTGCATTGTGGCATACCTTAAATTCTTTCTAAGACAAAGAGGCGAAAAAGTACTTTAAGATTATACCTGTACACTGGGTGCAGTGGCTCATGCCTATAATCCCGGCTACCCAGCCTAGGCAACAAAGTGAGACCCTGTCTCTTTAAAAATAAAATAAGAGAGAATATTTGTATACCTAGGACTGTGTTAAAGTAATACCAAACTTAGAGTGATTTAAGCAATAAAGACATCTAATTATTTCAAGTCCGACAAAATCTGAAGGCACGTAGCTCAAGAATTGGTCCAGCAACTTATGGTGTCATCCAGGACCTAGGCTCTTTCCATCTTTTTGCTCTGATATGCTCAGCACATTGGGTTTTCATCCTTTGGCTGATTGTCTCAGGAAGTAAGATCACTGCAACAACTCCAAATACCATGTCCTCACACCACAGGGCACAGAACAGGAAGAGAAAAAAATGTCCTCCTCATATAAATCTAACAGGGAGAAAGGTCTTCCCCAAAAACATCCTGGAAGAATTCTTTTTACATCTCATTGGTCAAAACTGAGTCATATAAATACGATTCACTGTTGAGAAAAGGAGAATCTGTAATTTTCAGCTTCACTTAAGAGGTGTGTTTTCCAGAAGGGAAGAGGTAGTAGAAAATGTTTACTGAGTAGACAACCAAGCATCTGCTATGGATACAGGATAGATGGATGGGGTTGGGGTGGATAGATAGGTGAATACATACATACATACCTATATATAGATAAAGTCTTTTTCTAAAACTCTAAGGCCCAAATTTCTACCTTCGAGATTTCTATCAACTATGTATCACACAGCTCATAACATTCACAGGCATTCTGCCTCACCCACTCCCTTCTCTCTCACACACAAGGAAGCCTCAAACTTCCTGCAATATATTTCCTAATATTTTTATTTCGACATTGTCATTGATGCAATACGTAATTGTTCTTTGTTGGGTATGGTTGACACTCCCCAGACATATTTACAAAATCTCATTCCTCGATAATACACCCTTTGTTAAATAACTACTAAATTGTCTGGAAGTCTAATGAGTCACCATGAATAAGTTGCTATATGTAATTCAGTAAGAAAAAAAATCCAATAAGAACCTTAATATTTAAACAGAATTATAAAATACCTATTTATTAATATATATATTCGCTACCATCTGCTAACCACTTTCATATTCATTCTCCTATTTAATCTCCATGATGACCCTGTTCAGTTAGCATCATTATTAGCATTTTACAGATGAAGAAATAACTACTTATTAAAATTAAGTGACCTTGGCCAGTCACAAATAACAAAGGACAGATCAAGACTTTAACCCACTTGTCCAGAGACATTATACCAATTACTTTTTGGTTCTACATTAAGTAGGAAAGAATCCAGTGATTTCTCATATTTTGCTATATGCCTGCATTTTTAAGAATTACGAGACTTTAGGCAGATCACTTAAAGTCTCTGTGGTCCTTAGTATTTTGTTCTGTAAAATTAGGGATGTGAGCAGGTTAAAGGTACCTAGCCACTAGGATAGCAACCTGAAGACAAGGATCTTCAACAAATCTCTGAGCCTTACCTGAACAATGTTGGAACAATTACCACTGCCATGATTCCTTTTCTTCCAACCCCTACCCCCAACATGGTTTTACTCATTCATACATTTATTCAGAACATACTTATGAAGCACCTGCCATGGGCCAAGAATTTTCAGGGGAAAAGGTAAAGAAACAGGAATAGAGTTCTTCCCTTATGCCTAAGACTTCACTGCCAATAACTTCACCCCTGCCCAATTTCATGGAGAGACTAAAAGTGGTAGATTTCTGAGGATTCTTTGCGTCCTAAAAGGCCAGGAATCTATGACTTCAGACATGATAAATCAAATTAAGAGAGTGATCGTAGGAAAGACAGACCTATAGAGAGAGAAATAATCAGGGAAACGGAGAGACCAAAGCCAAAAGTAACAGCTCACTCTGTTTCCCATTAACACTTCCTCAGATAACACAGAGCATTTGAACAGGGTCCAGGTAGAGCCAGTACTTTCACAGACCCAAAAGTGGCCCCATCCTGTCAGCCACAAGTCCCCACTGGCCCATTGTGCCTTGCTCACTACATTAATTCCAGAGCCTTATGGTCTGCTCACAGCTTGGATTACGGGACCTGCCTAGGACCTTGGGGGCAGCCCTGCACCAAGGCTTTGAAATCCCAGATTTCCCAGTGGCAAAGATGGGTGGTGATGAATGTTTATGACTCCAAAGGACCACTGTGAAGATTAATGACTTGTGTTTTGCAAAGAGTTTTTAAATCCCCAGATGAGAGCTGCTCATACAGCTGGCTTCTGCATGATTAGCATTTGCTTGCTTTAAATTGGTTACTACTGCCATATTTCAAGACCCAAAAAAAAGACCCAGATTAAAGGCAATGCCCAGGAGCCCACTGAGAGCTTTTAGATTGTACTTCCCCAGAGGCTGATGAGCTGACAGAGATAGAACACTCCTATTCAGCACCACCTTTTGAGAGATACATTGCATCTTTACTTTCAGATGTGGGATCAAGAGCATAAAAGTCACATTTGAACTAACATCTGATGTCTCCCTTGATACCATGCTGCAGACACTGTTAGGTTTTTGGAACATTTCCAGGCTAATAGCAAAATGATTTCTTATGGGACCATCAGAGGGGGAAAGACTGAGTAGAGATTTATCTTCCTACTTAGAAAAATAATTAGTAAATAAGTTTGAGTGATAATCACAGAAAATCCAAACTGGTTTAAAACATGTGACTTCTAACGATCTGTAAATTGATAAGAAACTGTATTTAGAATCGGATTCTCCTTAAAAAAAAGAAAAAGAAAAAAACTGGAGCAAAGCCTAGTTTGGGAATTCTATATTGTTGTCTACTTCAAGACTGATTTTTTTGATTGGTTGGCAATTTGAGTGACTTACACTTTAAACAACTAAAATAAATTACAGGTTGGATGCAGTGGCTCACACCTGTAAACCCAAAATTTGGGAGGCTGAGGCGAGAGGATCCCTTGAGTCTGGGAGTTTGAGACCAGCCTGGGCAACATAGTGACACTCAACCTCTACAAAAAAAATTTAAAAATTAGCCAGTCATGGTTGTGCATACCTGTAGTCCCAGCTACTCAGGAGATTGAGGAGGGGGGGATTAACGGAGCCCAGGAGTTCAAGGCTGCAGTGAGCAATGATCATGCCACTGCACTCCAGTCTGGCCAACAGAGCATGACCCTGTCTCAAAAAAAAAAAAAAAGACTTTTTTTTAAATGTTTAAATAAAGCAAATAAAGAATAATTAAAATAAATTGACATTGATTCAATGAAAAGAAAAGAAAATTACTATATTGTTTTTCCCCGTGAAGCATTTTCCCTGCCCTTTCAAGTTTTTTTAAGAATACCAAAAGTATCAAAATGAGCAAGAGGTTATAATTTATAATTATATGACTCATGCACAACACTAAAATGTTTCCATAGTACCACTAGGACAGATTTGGAAGCCAGCCTTGAAGTGGTTAGAAGTGCACTGAAAATCTGTATTTGAAAAGTTCTAATGGTTTCTAGAATCAGAGTTTTCACAAGTAAACCCTTGCCCTATAGATAAATTAGATTTTAAATGAATAAGTGGTAATAATACATGAAGTAGTCATATGAATATTATCAAACACTATTGACTATACACATCAAATGTAGAAGTAAATGAGGAAAAATGGTGACTTCATCAAAGCTTATTTTGAATTTCAATTTTCTTCATATTTGGTTAAGGTGTAAGTGGCCTGAGGAACGACAATAAGTTCTACAGCCTTAGGCTTCCAGGCTATTCTCAGGACTTCTCCTTGAGTCTGTGTTGAGAAAGCAAAAGACAAACTCATGAAGGTCACCCTCTGGCAAAGTCTCCCTATCTTCTTAAATAAATTTCACCAGTGACTAGAAGTAATATTGAATGGCTTGGTCTTAATAAGAAATTCAAAGAATATTCTTCCGTTGATTAACTAAAAAGGAACAAGGGATTTTCTGCCATAGTAATATTCACCATGCAACACCTGGAAGCAGCCACATTCACCAAGACACAGAAGCCTAGAGAATGAGGGTCAAGGCTGCACCTGTTGCAACATCTACTTGACTTCCTACTCCCATTTAGGGTGCTGGCCCATAAAATGGGTAGTTGCTATGGGACTGACAGATAGGAGCAGAGTAATCCAGGAGGTACATGGATAGTCTTAACTAAGAATGTGACTATTAGGAGCCTAGTGGTAGGGCTTGGATACCTAAAAATCAAGTTGCTACTAGGCTAGATGCCCTCGGAAATGGTCAAGTCAACTATAATAATAATTGGAGTGCCTACCATCTGACAGACTCTTTGCAAACATTATTAATAAAACAACTCCACAAGATCAGAATGATTGTCCCCATCTTGCAAATTAGGAAACTGAAGGTCAAGAAATTAAGTCATTTACCAAGTACATGTAGTTAGTACAGTGCAGAAAAAGCATAACCCAAATAGGCCAGTCTGACATCCAAGTCCATGTACCAGACTTCCTCACAAACCCACTTACCTGAAGCGTAGAACTGCAAACGTATCTTTATGCATCCATGCGAACTTTTTATACACTTGGATCTGTTTTATGTGTACAGTCTTTAGAAACAAAAACACAGAAATCATCTAAGATGGTGGTCATATTTTACATAGTACATATCAAGACATTATCTGAGAAATTATTTTGTGTCAATTTCTGGATGTAATATCCAATCTGTATGATACAATGTAGATTACACCACAATGGAATTTTTGATGGTGTTCATAGAACAAAAAGAAGGAAATTTTAAATCACTCCAGAAAATAAAGGATAGATAAATAAATAACTATGAGACAGAGTCCCTACTTATAAGATACTTTCACACAGAGGGGGCAAGGCATAAAAAAATTAAATTAAAAAAATACTAAATAGCATGTAAGTCAGCTAGCTTTCAACTGCACTTAACATAAGAGCCAATTAAATGTAGCAATTAAGATAAGAGCCAATTAAACTAAGGTGTTGCATTTCCAATTCTAGCAACATGGATGACTAAGTACTATGGCTAACACTACCATTGTAAACAATAGACAACACTGAATAAAATATTTTTAGTCTTCTAAATGACAAGCTGAGTATTCCAATTAGTAATAAATATTCAGAGCGAAAAAAACACTTGGTGGAAATGGTGACCAGAGAGGAAGAACACAGAAGCTGCCTTTCACCTTGAAGGATTCACTGAACTGTATGAAGCTGAGCCATGAGAGTTTCAAGGCCTCACAGGCTGATTTGGCTTGGCTTTCTGTCCCCACGCAAATCTCATGTCGAATTGGAGGAGGGGTCTGGTGGGAAGTGATTGAATCATGGGGGTGGATTTCCCTTTTGCTGTTCTTGTGATAGTGAGTGAGTTCTCACAAGATCTGATGGTTTAAAAGTGTGTGACACTTTCCCCTTGTTCTCTGTCTCTCTCCTGCCACCATGTGAAGAAGGTCCTTTCTTCCCCTTTGCCTTCCGCCATGATTGTAAGTTTTCTGAGGCCTCCCAGTCATGCTTTCTGTAAACCTGTGGAACTGCGAGTCAATTAAACCTCTTTTCTTCATAAATTACCCGGTCTCCAGTAATTCTTCATATCAGTGTGAGACTGGACTAACACACAGGCCATAGAGGATAGAAGTCAATGACAAGCCATCCCAAGAAGTGAGGCACATAGAAGATGGTCCCACACAGAGCAGGAACTGCCTATCCCCAAAGAAACTACACCCTCAAAATTCATGTGGAGTAGAAAAACAAAACCAGATCTCCAAAAGGGAAATTTCAATCCTGGTGTTAAATATCAACCCTGAGAATTTTTGTATCTACAAGTTGGCCCTCATAGCAGCCCAAATTCCTACCTAAAAAATTCAACTTCACTCAGAATTTAAAATAGCCCCAGGCTGGTGATACCTGCAGTTACCTGATACAAGGGCAAATCCTCCATGATGTAAGCTACCTTCAGCCTAAACTAAAAGGAATGATCACAGATAAGTTCAAAAAAATATGAGTTCATAATACATACAAAAGAGATACAGAACACATACAGGAACAACATATGCTAGAGGCAGAAAGAGCAGTTCGCAGAATCAGATCTGCAAGACCTCAGCTATTAGAATACTCTGATGCATCTTGCTATAAGTATAATACAACATAGTATAATATAAAGAATAAATGAAGGCATTGAAAACATAAGAGCACCACACTATAAAAATCTCCAAGTAGATTTGAAAAAACTGTATCATAGTTGACAAAAGAATTAGTGAACTAGAAGATGAATCTGAAAAAAAATTATCCACAATAGAAAACAGAGTCAAAAAGATGAAAAATATGAAATAAAATTGAGTCATGGAAGAAAGAATGAAAGGGACTAAAAATAAACCTCTAATAGGAGAGTTTTTTTAAGGGAGAGGAGAGAGAGTAGAGGCAATATTTGAAGATATAATAGCTAAGAATTTTCCAGAACTGATAAAAAGATACCAATCCACAGATTCGAGAATTCCAATGAATTTCAAACAAGATATATAAAACACAGCTAAACAAATTATATTGAAACTGTAGAACAGAAAAGAAAAAGTAAAGCTTTTTTAAAAAACACCCTAATGAAAGGCAGAGGAATGGCAATTGGACTGTGAGCTGACTACGCAACAGCAATAATGTGGACAAGAAGATAATGGATTGATAACCAAAGTGGCAAATGCATGCTTAAATCTAAACAAATGCAGACTATAAACACAATAATAAAAAGGACTTGTGTGGTAAAGAAAAACAGCAATGATACCACATAAGTTAAGGAGACAGAAAGCAGTGAAATGTTCTACCATCATTATGTTGTCTAAAGGAAAGTAAAGACATTGGCTAATTTTAGACTTAGGTGACTTAAATATACATATTTATGTTACGGGGTGAATTGTGTCCACCAAAAAGATATGTTCAAGTCTTAACTCCCGATACCCATGAATGTGACCTTATTTGGAAATAGGGTCTTTGCAGATGTTGAGATGAGGTCATACTGAGTTACGGTGGGCCCTAATACAGTGACTGGTATCTTTAAAAGAAGAGAGAAATTTGGACACACGGACAGGAAGAAAATGTCACTTGGTGATGGAGGCAGAGATTGGAGTGATACATCTACAAGTCAACTCGTTTTATTACGAGTCTAGCAAAACCTTGATTCAAAAACTTGTCGAGGGCAGAAGGACAAAAGAAATTACAGCCCAGTATTTCTCAGGGACACAGATGCAAATATCCTAAGGAAAATATCGGTGAACAATAGAACAATGCATAAAAGAGAAAATATATTACAAACAAGTTGGTTTTACCCCAGGAATGAAAACTTAGTCTAATATTAGAAAATCAGAAAATATAGTTTACCACATTAAAAATTAATGGAAAGAATTATACAATTACCTCAACAGATGCAGAAAAAGTATTTGATAAATCTCATAACAGCAACTTTTAGCAAACTAGAACTTCTTAACCTAGTAGAGAATATCTATAAAAATTTGACCCCAGCAATCCCATTACTTGTTATATACCCAAAGGAATATAAATCATTCTATTACAAAGATAATGCACACATATGTTCATTCCAGCACTATTTACACTAACAAAGACATGGAATCAACCCAAATGCCCAACCATGATAGACTGGATAAAGAAAATTTGGTACACATACACCATGGAATACTATGCAGCCATAAAAAGGAACAATATCATGTCCTTTGCAAGGACATGGATAGAAGTGGAAGCCATTATCCTCAGCAAACTAATGCAGGAACAGAAAACCAAACATCACGTTTTCTCACTTATAAGTGGGAGCTGAAAGATGAGAACACATGGACACAGGGAGGGGAACAACACACACTGGGACCTGTGGGGGATGAGGTAAAGGGAGGGAGAACATCAGGAAAAATAGTTAATGTATGCTGGGCTTAATACCTAGGTGACGGGTTGATGGGTGCAGCAAACCACCATGGCACATGTTTACCTATGTAACAAACCTGCACATCCTGCACATGTACCCCAAAACTTAAAAATAAAAATAAAGAATATCTATAAAAACCTATAGCAAACTTTACACTTAATGATAAAACACTGAAAGTGGCCGAGCATAGTGGCTCATGCCTGTAATCCAAGCACTTTGGGAGGCTGAGGTAGGCGGATCACTTGAGGTCAGGAGTTTGAGACCAGCCTGGCCAACATGGTGAAACCCTGTCTCTACTAAAAATACAAAAATTAGCCAGGCGTGGTGGCGGGTGCCTGTAGTCCCAGCTACTCAGGAGGCTCAGACATGAGAATCACTTGAACCCATAGGACAGAGGTTGCAGTGAACCAAGATTACGCCTCTGCATTCCAGCCTAGGCGACAGAGCAAGACTGACTAAAAAAAAAAAAAAAAAAAAAGAATACCAAAAGCATTCACTTTAAGATTAGGAAGAAGACAAGAGTTCCTGTACTTCCACTCTTACTCAACATTGGTTGGGTATCCTAACCAGCATAGTAATGCAAGAAAAAAAAATAAAGAATCAAAAGGAAGAAACAAACAGTCATGTTTACAGATGATGTAATTGTCTATGTAAAAGATTAAATAATAACCTATAAGAGAGTTAATAAAAGAGTTTAGCAAAGTTGAACAATACAAAATCAAGGTATAAAAATCTATTGCATTTCCATTCACTCTCAACAAAAAGGAAATATTTAATGAATACGTACCATATATAATAGCACTAAAACATATAAAGTCCCTAATAATAAACTTATTAGAAGATGAGCAATACCTTTCTGATAAAACTATAAAACTTCATTTTAAAAAAAAAAAGGCTAAATATCATATTAACAGATTAGAAAATTCAGTATCATAAAAATGTTAATTATCAGGCCAGGCGTGGTGGTACGCCTGTAATCCAGGCACTTTGGGAGGCCAAGGTGGGTGGATCACGAGGTCAGGAGTTCAAGACCAGCCTGACCAACACAGTGAAACCCCGTCTCTACTAAAAATACAAAAATTAGCCAGGCGTGGTGGCGTGCACCTGTAATCCCAGCTACTAGGGAGGCTGAGGCAGGAGAATCTCTTGAACCCAGGAGGCAGAGGTTGCAGTGAGCTGAGATCGCACCATTGCACTCCAGCCTGGGTGACAGAGTGAGACTCTGTCTCAAAAAAAAAAAAAAAAAAAGTTAATTCTCATCACACCAATCCATGGTTTGAATGTAACACTAATCAAATTCCCAAAAGCTACTCTTTTTCAGATCTTGGCTACATGATTCTAAAAAAAAATATGGAAGAGCAAAGGGCTAAGAATAGCCAAGAAAGCAATAAAGAAGAACAAGTTGGAGGTGAAGGGGCTTATCTTACCAGATATCAAAAATTATTACAAGGCTTTAAGATACTGGTATTGGTGAAGGGATAGGCAGTTTTCACACATATGGAAACCTGATACGATGGAGCTGGTAAGATAGATCACTGAAGAGGGCAGACACCAATAAATACTCCTAGGATAATTGGTTAACTGTATTAAAAAAATAATAAAAGCTGCACACAGGAGTGTGCACCTGTAGTCACAGCTACTCAAGAGACTGAGGCAGGAAGATCACTTGAGTCCAGGAGTTCAAAGGCAGCCTGGGCAATGTAACAATACCTCGCCTCAAATAATAATCATAGTAATAATAATAAATTGGACCTCTTTCCTCACACCAGTTCCAGGTGGATTATACATTTAGCTGTGAAAGGCAAAATTATAAAACTGTTAGAAGATAATGTGTACTCAAAGTAAGGATTTATTTAACAAGACACAAAAAGCAGAAGCCATAAAATAAAATAATAAATTTGAGTAACTTAAAATTAAGAAACTCTATTCAACAAAAGGCACAATAAAATGAGTCAAAAATTAAGTCTTCACTGAAAGATCTTTGTAGGTTATATAATTATTAAAGAATTCACATCTAAAATATATAAAGAACTTCTAAAAATAAGTAAGTAAAATTCATGGAATCCAATAGAAAAAAAAATAGGAAAAAACAGGCAAAAAAATTAAGTATTTCAGAGAAGGAAGCCAAATAGCTAATGAACATACAAAAATATAATCATATAAATACAAATTAAAATCTCAGTGAAATATTTCACAACAACATATCGTCAAAAATTTTAAAGTCAGACAGCAAGGATTCTCAAGGATGTAGAACAAGAGACCACTTATTTCCATGGAAAGAGGATAAATAAATATAAGCATCTTGGGAATCACTTCATCCTTAGCAGGGTTGAAAAGTACCTTCCTGCAGCCCAGCAATTCCATCTTTAGGGAAGCCTTCCTTGCTCTGAACCAGAGTTGACTGGGCCAGGGGGTGACATGCTCCAGGGCTATCACTGCCCAGGCCCTGCCCAGTCACCCCAAGGGCCAGAGGGAATCAGTATCTCCACACCCCTGTAACCCATTTGCAGCACAGCAATGTGCAAAGCACATCACTCGAGAAATGCTGCCGTAGAAAAACACTCTCACATGTTCACCATAGGAAATAGGAGACTGCCGGTCATAGTGGTGCAAGCCTGTCATCCCAGCACTTTGGGAGATCAAGATGGGAGGATCGCTTCAGCTCAGCAGTTTGAGATCAGTCTAGGCAATGTGGCGAAACCCATCTCTATGAAAAATATAAAAATTATCTGGGCACAGTGGTGTGTGCCTGTAGTCCCAGCTGCCTGGAAGGCTGAGGTGGGAGGATCACTTGAGCCTGGCAAGTTGAGGCTGCAGTGAGCCGAGATCACATGAATAACCAGACCCTGGAAAGAAGAGAGGGAGAGAGAGAGAGAGAGAGAAAAGGAAGGAAGAGAGGAAGAGAAAAGAGAAAGAAAGAGAGAGAGGAAGGAAGAGAAAGAAAGGAAGAAAGAAAGAAAAAGAAAGAAAGAAAGAGCAAGGGAGGGAGGGAGGAACGAAGGAAAGAAAGAAAGAGAGAAATGGAGGGAGGGAGGGAATGAAAGAAAGAAAGAAGGAAAGAAAGAACGAAAGGAAGGAAGGAAGGAGGAGGGAAAGGAAGGAAGGGAGGGAGAGAAAGAGAAAGAAGAAAGAAAGAAAAGACGAAAGAAGGAAAGAAAGAGAGAAAGAAAGAACAAAAGAAAGAAAGAAAGAAAGAACGAACGGTGGTTCGTGCCTGTAATCCCAGCACTTCGGGAGGCCGAAGCAGAAGAATCACTTGACCCAGGAGTTTGAGAGCAGCCTGGACAACATAGCAAGACTCTGTCTCTATTTTTTTTATTTGGAAAAAATAATAATAAAATTTTAAAAATAAAAAAGAATAGTCAGGAGTCGTGGTGCTCTCCTGTAGCTACTCAGGAGGCTGAGGTGGGAGGATCGGCTTGAACTCAAGAGTTTGAGGCTGCAGTGAGCTATGATCATGCCACTGGACCTTAGTCTGGGCAACAGAAGCAAGATCCTGACTCTAAAAAAAAAAAAGAGGGAGAGAAAGAGAGGGAGAAATACAGAAAGAATAGAAAACTCTAGAAACAATCAAAATATCCATTAACAGAAGAGTCATGTAGCAGAATATAGCAGTAAAAGCAAATAAATTGCAATAACAACATGAATGGATCTGAGAAACATAATGTCCAGCATAAACAAGTTAAAAAAATATGCAGTATGATACCATGTGTACAATATTGAAGACCAGGCAAAATTAAGTAATATACTTTTAAGAATACAAATACATGTGGGAAAAAAAAACATTTAAAAACAAATGAACTGAAAACACATACACAAAGCCAGAGAATGATGTACACAAATTTTACAGGGATGGAAATTTTGTTAGGGGAAGCAGGAGCTTCCATCCCCTTATTACCTTCAATACCCATTATTGCCTTTGGGAGACCGCAAGGGTAATGGTAATATCATTTTCTTATGCTAGGCTTTGTGTGAATGCGTGTTCATATATTGTTATTCTCTGTATTTTATAGATGTAATGCTATTTAATGCTTAACACAAATTATTAATAAAACTCCACAAAGTATCTATGACAACTCTACAAAAAAGCCCAGGGTTAGGCTGGATCCAGAGCTGGCTCTTCAGTGGCACAATGACATCATCCAGGATCAAGATCCTCTCCACTCTTCTGCTCACTTTGCAATCCTCAATTTATCAACAGTCTTTCCTTCTGCTCACAAACTGACCACAGAACTTCCAAATGTTACAAAAACCCAGGAATATACCCAGCAAAGAAGGAGGGTCTCCATCCATGCATTTATTAGTGAGACAACCCTTCTACAGAAGACGTCCCCTCAGTGCCATTGACCAGGATTTGGGGCACATGTCCATTCCTAAACGAATCCTGGGCAAAGAATACTGGATCATCATGACTGGCTTAGAACACTGATTCTCAAAGTTTGGTCCTTGGGCCATCAGCATCAGCATTCCCTCAAAACTTGATAGAAATGCCCTACCCAAGACCTATGGAATCAGATATTCTGGGGGTGCAGCTCAGCAGCCTGTGTTTTAATACATTCCCCAAGTGAATCTCATGCATGCTAGAGTTTGAGAACACTGGCTTAGGCTTAGACTAATTCAAACTTAAACTCCGAAGCTAGAGATATGATCACATTCCTGAGGACACAGGAGGGAAAGTGAACACCTAATCAAATGTGGGGCTGTCACAGGAAAGAAAGACGTTTGCCATAGAGTCTCCCTGAAGAATCCTTCAGGACATCAGAGAAGGGTTAGAGGCCTCAAGCAAAGCGAAATGTGACTTGGCTCAGCAGGATGAGAGAAGTTCATAGGAATGGGAAGGAAGGGCATTTCAAAAAGTAGAAAGAAAATGAGAAAGTCACTATACTTCCTTTAGCCCAGAGCCACTTAACTAATTGGGATTCATTTGTTGCAGATAAAGTAAAAATTCATTTCCCCAAATGTCAATCTAATAATATAAAAGCCCCCAACACCTTCTTTTTCAATTATAAATATGCCTAAAGGGGAATTATAATGTTAAAGTACCGCAGTGTGAACAAAGCGACTAATTCCCCTGTGGTTATTTTTCATGTTTAGATTAACTTAGGGAGACTCTGTATTACCCACGTCAGAATTTCTCTGTACACCTAAATTATCATCACTATTTTCCTCAAACATGTTCTAACAACAATATCTGGAGTCATAGTTTTAAGTACTTTGAGGGTTTTCTAATGTGAATAAGAAATGAATATCAAAAGGTGGCAAATAAATAAGTTAAAGACAAATAACAGACCAGAGGGAATATCTGCAACATGTAGAAAAGGAAAGAAGTTGATGTTCATAATATATACAAAGATCCTACAAATAAGAAAGAAAAAGAAACAAAATTCAATTAAAAATGAGAAAGGATGTAAACAGGTCATCCATTTATTCATTCACTCAACTACCCATTTTTTAAAATTCCGTATCATTTGCATCCTGGCTCCACCCTTCCTAGTTGTGTGACCTGGGACAGTTTGTTTAAATTCTGTACAGCTCAGTTTTCCCACCAGCCATAAGCAGATAATAATAGTACGTACTTCATAGGGTCTTTGTAAGTATCAAAACAGTAAATATACGTTAAAGGCACAAGAAGCCTCAGAAATGCTAGCTATCAAGTTATTATCTTATATATTACAAGACAGGCACTCTTCTAGGCATGGCAATTCTCAAAAGAAGAAAAATGAATAGTCAGAAAATAGCAAACAATGCTTACTATCAACAATATGCACAGGTTTGTGGGGATATAGCATTCTCATGCTTCATCAGTGTAAACTCGGAGCAAAGATTGTGGAACAAGTGAATAGCATCAACTTTAAATGCATATACAACGTGATGCCAGAATGCTACCCATAGGACTTTACTTGAAGATACTCAAAAAAGCATGAAAATGTTTATCACCATATTTTTATAACAGAAAAGAATACTGGAAATATCCTAAATGTCCATATATGGGGACTGGTAAAAGAAATATGGTACATTTAAATTATGGGAAATCTATTAACAAACTAAGATAGATATATATATACTGATATGAAGACACCTTCAAGATATAATATTAAGTTTTTCGAATGAGTGTAACATGATCCTTTTGTGAACATCTTAAAGGGTTTACACATATATTGCATATGCATGAACATTTCTTGGGAAAGAAAATGTCACTGTGGGAAAAAGAACTAAAGATCAGGGATGGTGGGAAGTTATTTCCATTTTTCCTTTTTATACTACTGGAATTTTTCTATAGCTATTCTTTTTAATGTGGTGAGATTATGAGTTGTCTTTTTTCTTCTTTATTTTTTCAGGGTTTTTTAAATCTAACACTTAAAAAAAGCACAGGTGCTTATCTCACAATTTTTAAGGGTCAGAAATTCAAGAGTGGCTTATTAGGATGGCAGGATGCTTCTAGCTCAGGATCTTTCATGAGGCTGCAGTCTCAGCTGAAGGCTTGGTTGAAGCCAGAAGACTTGATTGCAAGGTCACCCATGTGTCCATCAGCCAGAGGCCTCAGTTCTTCACCAAGTGGGCCTTTTCATAGGTCTGCTCACAATATGGCAGCTGGCTTTCCCCAGAGCAAGTGTTCTAAGAGAGAGAGCAAGAGAACAAGTAGGAAGCCACAGTGGCTTTCATGAAATGGCCTCTGAAGTTATATTCCATCACTTCTGCTTTATTCTATTCATTAGAAGTGAATAGTATCCATGAGTTTGCAGACATTTCAAAACCACAAATGACAGAAGAGGAATATTTATGAGTTAAATATAGAAAGAAAGAGAAGTAGGATTTGATGTATTGAAGTAGATTTGTGAAAAGAACACTAACCTTGAATCAGGAGAGCTGGGGTTTATTTCACCACATACAGCAAGTACCTAATAGATGTTTGGGACCAGGCACAGTGGCTCATGCCTGTAATCCCAGCACTTTGGGAGGCAGAGGCAGTCAGGTCCCTTGAGGTCAGGAGTTCGAGACCAGCCTGGCCAACATGGTGAAACCCTGTCTCCACCAAAAGTACAAAAATTTGTCGGGGGTGGTGGTGCATGACTGTAGTCCCAGCTACTTGGGAGGCTGAGGCAGGAGAATCGCTTGAACCCGAGAGGCAGAGGTTGCAGTGAGCCGAGATCGTGCCACTTCACCCCAGCCTGGGCAACAAACTGAGACTGTGCCTCAAAAATAAATAAATAAATAAAATAAAAATAAATAAATAAGTGTTTAGTAAGTTTTCTTTAAATGAATGAAGGTAGAAATTACAGCTTTTCTGAGACTGTTTTCAAGTCTTTGGCTATGTGCATAAGAGCAGTTACCACATTACAAAGGCTCTCCAGAGAGTTGGGTGGGATAATGGGTATCAGAGGTCTTTGTAAATTTAACATTTGTAGCCAAATTTTGCAAGGACACAAATTTGGCCTGAGAAAGGAGGAAGAGGCTCCGGCATACTGGAGTCCTTGCCCATGCCAGGTGTCTTTTCTGCATGGCAGGGTCCCAGGACCTGGGGCAGCAGTCTGATTCCAGCTCCCCATCTGAACTCTATCTCAGCCCAGCCCAGACTCCTTGCAATGTCTTACTTCCAGTTGTTGCTAAAAATCTGATACATTTTATTTTATGACAGCACCAAACTCATTGGTCTTCCCTATCTTGATAAATAGCAACTCAATTTTTCCCATCACTCAGGCCAAAACTTGGAGTCATTCCCAACATCTCTCTCTATATCACTCCTCACATCCAATTGATCAGTAAATCCTTCTAACTATATCCAGCATCCAGCTTATCACACTTCTATCACTACCATGCTATCCAAGCAGTCCCCCCACCCCACCCCCAACCAAACATGTCACCTGGTACACCAACATGATTTCTCTCTAAAGAGAAATCTCTTTTCAACAAGCCATTTGCCTGGATCTAACATCAAAGTCTGAATACAATTTCTGACCCTGCCACCAGTATCATTTTGCAACATTTTCCACAGACTATATAATCTAATATTATATGATGAGTAGGCGTGATGCAGGCCTGGTGGCACCACACTGCAGCCATGTCATAACGACAAGTCTATGAGCATATTTGTCTCCTGCGTCACAAGACCCAGGCCTGACTAGGGTCTACCATGACAAGCAACACTTGGAACTACTAACCTGTATGTGACAGGAAGGGGGAACACCATCAAACGCTGAAGTTTATAAAACAGAAAAAGTGAGTATACATGATCCTCTATGATATCACACCATTGAATTAACCTATCCTGAAACTGCCAGACTTCTTGTGTCAGATAATTAAACTCTTATTGCTTAAACCACTTATTAGTTTTTCTGTTGCAGCCAAAAACATCCTTCATCCTTATCAACACATCTGCTATTGGTAAGTGTTCATTAAATGAACAGCTAAAACTAGAAAGGATTATGGCAATTTTTAAAAAATCAAATACAGTTAGTCAGTTAAAATACAATAATAAAACTATTCCAGAAACACAATAGAGAAATAGGATACATGATGCTACTAAAAATCTCAGATTAGATAGTCATTAATATTAAATCTAAAGTTCCTGACTCCAGAGGGAAAAAAGAAGAATACCAACATTTTAGGAGAGAAAAACGTTTTCCTGATACTAATCCTATGTGAAATCTACCATGAGAAGATAAGGGATATAGAATAACATTATAGAGGCAATGTTTCTATGGCAAAGATTGTTCATGCTCGCCAAATATCCAAGTGTTCCATATCCCAGACCCCATGAATCCCAGTGGGATCATGTCACTAATTCTTAACAATGGAATGTGAGCTAAAGTGATGTATCATTTGTGATCCAGGAAGGATGCACTTCTCCACACCTTCTGGATCTCCTGTCCATACAGCTGGAAACAAAATGCTCTCAAGATGACAGTTTCCAAATAAAAGCAACTTGGATCCCTGAGCTGTCACTTGATGGAAAGCCAAGCAGGAGACCAACCCAATCTACATCAGATTGTGATACTAAAAAGAAATAAATCTTGTTGTGTTAAGCCACTGAGATTTTCGGGTTTATCTGTTCCACTGAATAGCTCAGCTTAGCCTGGCTACTACAGTATCCAACAATAACTTTACACTCTACTTAAGATTTTTAGAATCAAGAATGCCATTTGGAAGAGACAGATGGTTGAGGTTTAATTCTTCTAAGTTGAACACATCCTTCCTTTTCATAACAATCCTAGTTCCTCTTCCAAACACAACGCAGAAATGCACACCATGATTTGGTATCTTCTTGAGTCCAGTAATTATCCTATCTCTCTAAGAGCTGTCCTTTCTCAGGGAACTCTTGTTCACATCCGTTCTGTTTCATCCTTTCAATGCAGCATTTAAGAAGCTGAAAACAGAGAAAGAAGACAAGGATAAGTTTAAAACACCAACTTAGTGATGGTAAGAAAAAGAACATCACTGAAAGGTTATATATATATTGGGAGAGTCCTCTTTTTTCAGCACTAAAAATCATATCAATTGTATCATTTCAAATGCTCTGGAATTCAGTAATCCATTACTATAAAGAGTGTGCCAAACCAAAAATATCTGAGATCTCCAAATGAGCACTTTCTTGACTAGAAAAATCCTGGGCACCTACATCATCTCAAATGTATAAAAATAAACTGTGAAAGAGTAAAACGCTGGGGGAGGAAGGCAAATACTTGTATTTTATCATTTCAGGTGCCAATCTGTAGATTTTTCTACCTCTGCCTTTCTGAGTATAATGCATGGACTGATCCGAGTTTCCCTGAGCTGCTCCAGCACTCAACCTGGGGAGGTTTCACACTGAGTCATCCTTCCTATTAGGCTGCTTAGGGAGGGAATGACTGGGATTCCCAATGTAATCCGAGCACCCTTTACTGCCACTTATACCCAAGATGCTATATCCCAAAATGATAACTAATTTCCTGTGTGGACCCTGAATCTCTCCCCCTACCCTAAGTTTTTATCATTAAGTTCCTGCTTTTGACTTTATAGGATCTATTCTTTGGTCCCTATTTCAAGCTATTGTTCCTAAGATTATTCTTACTAGTCCTGCCCCCACTCCAAAATACCCTGGTCCCTAAAGTTGGTGCCTATGACCAAGTATGTTTAACAATACTGAGTATTTGTCATATATCAATAATAAATACATGATGTCTTATCATTTAAGGTAGGGGTCACCAACCCCCAGGCCACAGACCAGTACCAGTCCATGGCCTGTTAGGAATTGGGCTGCTCAGCAGGAGGTGAGTGGCAGGTGAGTGAGCAAAGCTTCATCTGTATTTACAGCTGTTCCCCATGGCTCCCATTACTGCCTGAGCTCCGCCTCCTGTCAGATCAGCAGCAGCATTTGATTCTCATAGGAGCACAAGCCTTATTGTGAACTGTGCCTGTGAGGAATCTAGGTTGCACACTCCTTATGAGAATCTAATACCTGATGATCTGTCACTGTCTCCCATCACCACCAGATGGGACCGTCTAGTTACAGGAAACAAGCTCAGGGCTCCTACTGATTCTACATTATGGTGAGTGGTATAATTACATCATTTTATATTACAATGTAATAATAATAGAAATAAAGTGCACAATAAATGTAATGCACTTGAATCATCCCAAAACCATGTCCCTGCACCCCACCTCCCCAGTCCATGGAAAAATTGTCTTCCACAAAACTGGTCTCTGGTGCCAAAAACATTAGGGACCACTGATTTAAGGAATCAAAGAAAAATTATTTCTAAAAGTTAAAAAACTTTTTTTAAAAGATTGAAGCCACAAAGTATAAAGTCAGTTTATTTTAAAGGATATTCTAGACATAATGATCAGGCCATAAGTGAACTGGTTTTCCTACAGAATCTTTAAATTGTCACAACCACACATTAAGGTAGGCACTATCATATTAGCCCTACTCTGTAAAAGAGGAAACCGAAAACTAAAGAAGTTAGGTAACTTGTCCAGAGTTTCCAGGCTAGGAAGTGGCAGAGTCACTGCTGTCTGATACTATTTAATTTAAGGAATCAAATGTTCCAAGTTATAATGGGTTTCAATAAATTATTGTATTGTCCAGAGGCAAGCCAATGAAAGTGCTTAATGGGTTGACAGAGCACAGGATGTTCCTGTACTATCTAGAGCCTCCCAGGATTAGGGGGTGGAACGGCACCTGCTCGAGAGAGACGTGTGTGTGTGTGTGTGTGTGTGTGTGTGTGTGTGTGTGTGTGTGTGTGTGTATGATGGCGGAAGCGGAGAAGAAGGTCCAGCCAGGAAGGCGTTATCCATGTCAGTGCATAAATGAGCAGATAGGATACAAAAGCAGAACCTAAAGGTAATTTTTCCATCAGTAAATCAAGAAGGACAGATCTACACTTCAGAACTTTTGTCGTCAGCCAAAAGTTTAGGGAAGCTAATCTAAGAGCTGAGGACATGCACAAAGGAATCGTACCTATGTGATGCCCGGACTGCTAGGACTGGGGTTGGGAGAAGAGGGTCAGAAGGGCTTTTTAAAGGAGTTTCCTCAGCTGCTGACCATTCTCAGTGCTGGACAGATCCAGCCTCCCTTCCCATATTCCCATACTCTCCCTCCAGAATCAGAGTTAAATCAATCTGATCTCTGGAAGGTTCATTATTATTTTAAAACTACACTGTGGTGTCTTCAGAATAAGGGGGAAAGTGGAGGTTCCAGTTCTTTGCACAGGTAGGAAAAGAGAGGAAGATCTAAACTAAAATACTCTATTTGGTCCAAGATAAATATACTCACACACTCATTTACTTAAGCAATATGTGATGTTATAAACTAGATTGAACATCAATTCTCAAATCATGCATTGGATAAGAGCACCCTCATCAGGCCACAACTAATTTATTGAGTTATAGTAACTGTGCTAAACTATCATTTGGCTTCCAAAACGAGAAAGTGATGCAATAATAAGCAAAAATTGCAGAGGCATATGCCAACTGTCTCAAAATTGTCCCCCAAAGTCATCTTACCCAATTAATAAAGGCAATTGCTAGACAATGTCAGGTGTATTCATAGGGAAAAGAACATTAAGGTCAAAATGTTTTTGTTGAAGTTCTACCACTAACTGTGTGACCTTCACAAGTTGATGAACCTCTGTTAGCCTCTATTTACTCATCTCTAAAATGCGCATGACCTTATTAAGTCTGCCTCACTAGGATCAAATAAGATACATTTCAAAGTCCTATGAAGTAAAATATAAAGCACTTAATAAAACAATTATAAATTCAGGTATTATCAGTATTATTTTTACTGAATATGATATAGCATAAAGTATCACCTCATTTTGTTCACATCACAAAAATAACACGACAAAAAAAGACATTTGTTATTTCTGTGTTATAGGTATCCACATTCTTTAAAAGGTGAATAACGTAATTACAAAAAAAAAAAAAGCACTGGCTGTGCAGAGGATCTTATAAAGATGTGCAGTTCAGACTCATGTCTTAAATGATTTACTTTTTAACTCCTTGTCACGGCTCTGAATCATTTAAATTGGAGAAGAGTATCAACAAAGATTCATTTAAGTACCACAGGTAGGGCACTGTGCTAGGCTTTCAAAGAAATACACTAATTTTGTATGTAGATCTTAGATCCTCGGAGACACCTCAAGAAGTCATCTACTATACAGAGTAAGTTTCCCTTACAGATCCTGTCTCAGAGAAAGATCTCAAAGGATAAAATATGTTAATCACGGTGACCCCTAGAAAGTGTAGTTAAAGGTAGAACCTTCATGTCTGTATTGTTAGAAAGTTTTAAATAATAAATACATGGTGTTTTGACATTTAAGGAATCAAACAAAAATGACTTGTAATGCTAATAGACATATTTTAAAGAATGAAGCCAGAAAGTATAAAGTCAAAGGCTTAGGTTCCAAGAACATTCTGGAGATAATCATGTGCAGCCTGAAGCAAGTCTTCAGACTCCTGCACTTGCATTTCACCTCTAAGAAATTTGCAAAACTAGTGAGCTTGCCATTAGGACTTTAGTGCTCTTCTGCATAGTTTTAAGTGAAACATCTAAATTTTTATTATAATTAGTTTAAAAGGATAATTTTTGGCGTGCTGTATTGGTGTCTTAACATGTGTACAATCGAATCTAAATATAGCAATTTGAGACTCATTATCACTCATTAAAAAACAAGCTCTTGGCCAGGCGCAGTGGCTCACGCCTGTAATCCCAGCACTTTGGGAGGCCGAGGAGGGCGGATCACTTGAAGCTAGGAATTCAAGACCAGCCTGGCCAACATGGTGAAACCCAATCTCTACTAAAAATACAAAAATTAGGCCAGGCATAGTGGCTCACGCCTGTAATCCCAGCACTTTGGGAGGTCGAGGCGGGTGGATCACAAGGTCAAGTGTTCATGACCAGCCTGATCAACATGGTGAAACTCTGTCTCTACTAAAAATACAAAACTAAGCCGGGCGTGGTGGTGCGTGCTTGTAATCCCAGCTACTCAGGAGGCTGAGGCAGGAGAATAGCTTGAACCTGGGAGGTGGAGGTTGCAGTGAGCCAAGATCACACCAGTACACCCCAGTCTGGGCAACAGAGCGAGACTCCATTAAAAAAAAAAAAATAGCTGGGAGTGGTGGCACATGCCTGTAATCCCAGCTACTCAGGAGGATGAGGCAGGAGAATCACTTCAACCCAGGAAGCAGAGGTTGCAGTGAGCCAAGATCATGCCACTGCACTCCAGCCTGGGCGACAGAGCAAGACTCCTTCTCAGAAAAAAAAAAAAAAAACAAAAACCTCTTCTTTAAAAGATGAAAATTCTTCATTTTTCTCCTTTAACTCTGAACCACTTAGGGTTCAGTACAAGAAACAGAAACCACTCAAGGCATTTTAAGCAAAAAGAGATTTAATATAGAGAATTGGGTTTTTACAAAATCACAGAGCGAGCTCTAGGCTTCCAAAAGTCCAGCATAGGTAAATGCACAGAGACAGAAAGTAGGTAAGTGGTTGCCTAGGGATGGGGGCAGAGGATGGGACATAGGGGTTATGAGTGTGATGGGGGAGATGAGGAGTGACTGCTAAAAGAGTACATAGTTTATTGGAACATAGGCCTGTTCATTCATTTATGTATTGCCTATGGCCGCATTCACATTGCAATGGGAGACCTGAGTAATTACAACAGAGGCTGTATGACCCTCAAAGCCTAAAGTATGTACTATTTTGTCCTTTAAGAAAAAGTTTGAGAAATAAAATGTGGCACATATACACCATGGAATACTATGCAGCCATAAAAAATGATGAGTTCATGTCCTTTGTAGGGACATGGATGAAATTGGAAATCATCATTCTCGGTAAACTATCGCAAGGACAAAAAACCAAACACCGCATGTTCTCACTCATAGGTGGGAATTGAACAATGAGAACACATGGACACAGGAAGGGGAACATCACACTCCAGGGACTGTTGTGGGGTGGGGGGAGTGGGGAGGGATAGCATTAGGAGATATACCTAATGCTAAATGACAAGTTAATGGGTGCAGCACACCAGCATGGCACATGTATACATATGTAACTAACCTGCACATTGTGCACATGTACCCTAAAACTTAAAGTATAATAATAATAAAATAAAGAAAGAAAAAAAAAAAGAAAAGAAAAAGTTTGCCGGCCAGGTGCGGTGGCTTACACCTGTAATCCCAACAGTCTGGAAGGCAGAGGCAGGTGGATCATCTGAGGTCAGGAGTTCGAGACCAGCCTGGCCAACATGGTGAAACCCCGTCTCTACTAAAAATACAAAAAAAATAGCCAGGTGTGGTGGCAGGCGCCTGTAATCCCAGCTACTCGGGAGGCTGAGGCAGGAGAATTGCTTGAACCCGACAGGCAGAGGTTGCAGTGAGCCAAGATCGTGCCATTGCACTGTAGCCTGGGTGACAAAAGCGAGACTCCTCTTCAAAAAAATAAAAATAAAAAAGTTTGCCAACCCCAGCTTTTATTCAAAGATGCAGCGTTGAACTGTCAGGAATAAATATGTAAACTTTCACCTTCTCTTCCTTGAAATAAACCTAAAGGAGCACCCAGGACACAGAATGAGATGCTGGGAAAGCAAGTCCTCACCAAGCTGTTTCTCACTAAGAACTGTAAAAATTCAGAATGGTCCACCTTGTAAATTGGTATTTCCCAGTGTGCTTCTTGCTTCTTGCTTTAAATATTCTAATCTATGATAGATAAACAATAGTTTTATTTTCAAATGGCAATATTTATATATGCCAGAAATTACATCCTTTGCAACTATTTAAACTTATGATGATTAATTTTAGATGTCAACTCTAAAATGTATGTGGAATACATAGCTATTTTTGTGTTTGTTTTTTTCAAAATGCTTGAAGAGAGCATGCAAGCAAAAATGTTGAAAGATCACTGGCTGAAAGAAGAAAGTCCATCTTTGATTTTGGCAAGAGTTTCAGGTGAATGTATAACCTCCCTCCACCCCAACTAGAATTGCCCTAATGATTAGCTTTTTTTGTAATTTATTAAGGTACCTGGTGTCTTTGTTCATTTGCTGTATCACCTTATAGAAGTTTGCAGAAGTAAAGCTCTACATACAAGCTATTTGGGTATGGACACACATGTGAAAAGGAAACTAACATCTACTGAGCATCTGCCACTTGCCAGACCCTCTACATAAATTCTCTTATTAATTCCTCACAATTTTACTTTGAGGTACATGTTATTATTATGTTAATCTCATGTTATAGCCTAAAAAAGATACTAAGTGATTTCAGGTAATATACTCAAAACCATATAACTAGTAAACAACAGAACTAGCATAGAAACCCAAGACTGACACTAAAGCCCATGTATCTTCCATTCTCTGCTCCGCCTAATTCAACTTTCTGATTCCTCAGTTCTACATAGACATGTATCTGAGTCCATGACAAGCAAGTACTCTGGAACCTATGATGGTACTACTTAGTCCCTAACAGTCCCTGACACTTAGCTCCCCTATCATTATTTTTTAAATTTAGAAAAATAAATGTTTTTAGACAGAGTCTCACTGCCACCCAGGCTGAAGTGCAGTGGCATGATCACAGCTCACTGCAGCCTCGACCTCCCAGGCTTAAGCAATCCCCTCATCTCAGCCTCCCGAGTTGCTGGGATTACAGACACATAACATCACACCTGGATAATTTTTGTGTTTTTAGTGGAGATGGGGTTTCACCATGTTGCCCAGGCTGATCTCAAACTCCTGGGCTCAAGCAATTTGCCCACCTCAGCCTCCCAAAGGGCTGGGATTACAAGTGTGAGCCACTGCACCAAGCCTAAAAAAATTTTTTGATAGCGACAGAGTCTTGCTATGTTTCCCAGGCTGGTCTCAAACTTCAAGGCTCAAACGATCCTCCCATCTTGGCCTCCCAAAGTGCTAGGGTTACAGGCAGAGCCACTGCACCTGGCAAGTTCCCCTATAATCATTGTTTGGAAAAATATTCAAACCACCTAAGTACCAGTAGGTGACTGGCACCAGCCAGTCCAAACAAAACCCAGTCTAAAGATGGGGACAGGGCCACCTGTGTTTACCAGTTGACTATCAACCCTGCCTAAAAGCATAGCATCTTCCAAAAAGCTGAAAAGGATGAACTTGCCCAACCATCTCATTGTTTTCAGATAAGGATGCTAAGGACTCAGAGATTAATGCCCTACTAAATGTCACACCATCAGTGGCTGGCTAGGCCAAAATAGAATCTCCTGTATTTTGATGATTGATTGATAAGTTGGTGAATTAGTGACACACTCTGCCTTCTTTCTTTTAGAATCTAAAAGAACTACAGATGGCTTCTTAAACACAATCTACAGTGCTGGAGCATGGGCAATTGAAAGTTCAGAATAGATCCATGAATACCTGTTAAATGGTTCCAGTCCTGATATCTGTCCCACTTTTCTTCACTTCGTACCTCATCATCCACTGTTTGCATTCTACCAGTGGAGAACAGTGCATGTAAAACTATACTCAAATCACCTGGGAGATTCTCCTTGTTAAATTTCAGTCTGTTTGAGTAGGTGTGGAATGAAAGCCAAGATTCTACATGTTTTTAACAAGCTCCCAAGTGATGCCAATGTTGCTCACCACACTTTGTTTTTTGTTTTTTGTTTTGGGGGTTTTGTTGAGACAGGGTCTTGCTTGTTGC